>NC_000012.12:39278309-39429824 GCF_000001405.40 Homo sapiens
GCTAGGTGTGGACAAGTCAGAGAGCTAAGAACTCCAAGAGGGCCCAGTCTCAGGGACTCATACTTTTGTGAATTTTACCTCCCAGAGCTCTACCAGGTTCTCGCAGTAAGACCAGAGAAAGATCTCAGGCTTCCAACAGTGGGAGAAGAAAAGCAGCCATTTTGAAACACTCCAGAGCATTCTATTCTTCTTAACAAGGCTTGCCCTCAAGAGATACCAGAGCCTATTGAGGTTTTATCAGACTCAACTGACCTTAGGAAAGGGAAATACCCAACTCCCACCCACTGGTGCATTTCATGTGGAGGAAGAGAAATACCCAATTCCAGCTTCCTCTGGCCATCCTGTCATGCCTAAGCTGGGCAGCAGGCTCCCTAAAGACTGAGACCTAATCATAGGACTATAGAACACTTCCCTTTCCCAAACATCTTACTACCACATTAGCAAAGCTGTATTTATTGCAGATCCTTTTACCCACTACAACATGTCCTAAAATTGCAGGGCATACTAAAAGGCAAAAAACACAATTTGAAGAAACTACATAAGCATCAGAAAGAGAGCGAGACATGGCAGGCATGCTGGAATTATCAGACAGGGAATTTAAGACAACTATGATTAATATGCTAAGAGCACTAATGGAAAAAGTAGATTACATGCAAGAACAGATGGGTAATGTGAACAGAGGTATGTAAATTCTAAGAAGGAATGAAAAAGAAATACCAGAGATCAAAAACATGATCATAGAAATGAAGAACGTTTTTAATAGGCTCATTAGACAAAGAATCTTTAAGTTTGAGGACATGTCAATAGAAACTTCTAAAACTGAAATGCAAAAAGAAAAAAGACTGGAAATCGGCCCACAAAATATCCAAGTACAATGGAACAACTACAAATGGTGTAACATCCATGTAATGGGAATATCAGAATGAGAAGAGAGAGAGAAATATTTGAAACAATAATATCTGAGAATCTTCTCTAAATTAATATCAGACACCCAACCACAGATCCATAAAGCTCAGAGTACACCAAGCCAGATAAATCCCAAAACAACACTATACCTAGACATATCATACTCAAACTGAAGAAAATCATAGGTGAAAAAAAAAAGTCTTGAAGAATCCAAAGGAAAAGAACAGCTTACTTATAGAAAGACAAAAATTAGAATTATACTTAACTTCTCAGAAACCATGCGAGTAAGAACAGTGAAGAGAAATATTTAAAGTATTGATAGAATAACTACCAAGCTTATATTCTATATGCTCCAAGAGGGTCCTTCAAAAATGAAAGAGAAATACTTTCTCCAACAAAAATTGAAGGATTTTTTTTTGCCAGTAGACTTGCCTTGAGAGCAATGCTAAAAGTTCTTCAGAGAAAAGGAAAATAAACTAAGTTAGAAACTTGGATTTACATAAAGGAAGATCATTAGAGAAGGAATAAGTGAACGTAAAATAAAAACTCTTATTTTTGTCCGAGCATGGTGGCTCACACCTGTAATCCCAGAACTTTGGGAGGCCAAGGTGGTCAGATCACAAGGTCAAGATATCAGGACCATCCTGGCCAACAAAGTGAAACCCTGTCTCTACTAAAAATACAAAAATTAGCTGGGTATGGTGGTGCACACCTGTAGTCCCAGCTACTCAGGAAGCTGAGGCAAGAAAATCACTGGAAGCTGAGGCAAGAAAATCACTTGAACCTGGGAGGTGGGGATTGCAGTGAGCCAAGATTGTGCCACTGAACTCCAGCCTGGGCGACAGAGTGAGACTCCATCTCAAAAAAAAAAAAAAAACCTTTTTTTTTTTATGGTTAATTCATTTAACAGATAATAGTTTGTTCAAAATAATAGTAACAAAGACATATTGATGAGGCTGGGCATGGTGGCTGACGCCTATAATCCTAGCACTTTGAGAGTCAAAGGTGGATGGATCACTTGAGGCCAGGAGTTCAAGACCAGCCTGGCCAAAATGACGAAATTCAATCTCTACAAAAAATTAGCCTGGCACAGTGGTTCACACCTGTAATCCCAGCTACTCAAGAGGCTGAGGCATAAGAATCACTTGAGCCTGTGAGGTTGCAGTTAGCCAAGATCGTGCCACTGCACTCCAGCCTGGGCAACAGAGCAAGACCTTGCCTCAAAAAAAAGAAAAAGTATTGATAATGATAGATTCTGTATAGTAAAATGAATGACTGAAATGATACAAAGACAGGAGGGAGAAATTAGGAATACCTGGTTATTATAAGGTACTTGCACCATAGATGTTGTGGTATAATTTCTTTTGAAACCAGATTTGGCTTCTCTGTAAATGTATATTTACAAACTCTAAGGCAACCACTGAAAAAAGTAAAAAAAAAAAAAAAATTGATATGCTAATAAAGGAGAAAAAATGAAATCATATAAAATGCTCAATTAAAACCAAAAACGACAGAAAAAGAGCAAAAGAAAAAAAAAAGAACAAATAACAAGGGCAATGAATAGAAAATGGTAACAAATATGGTAGATATTAATCCAACTATATCAATAATCACATTAAACATCAGTGGTTAAAATTGGATCAAAAGACCTACTTATATGTTGCTATGAAAAACTACTTTAAATGTAAAACATACAATAAAAGTAAAACAATGGACAAAGAGATACCTTGTTATTACTCATCAAAAGAAAGTGTAAGTAACTATACTAATTTCAGTGAAGTCTTCAGAGCAAGGAAAATTATCAAGGATAAAGATAGGCATTACTTCTTTAGTGATAAAGAGGTCAATACTCCAAGAAGACATAGCAATCCTTAATGTACCTGCACCTAGCAGCAAAGTGTCAAAATATGTAAGGCAAAACTGATAGAGCTTCAGAAAGAAACAGATTAATACATTATTATTGCTGGAGACTTAAACACCCTTCTATCAGAAATGGACAGATCCAGCAGCAGATAATCAGTAAGGGCGTTGTTGAACTCAACAACACAATCGATCAAATAGATATAATTTACATGTATAAACTACTCTATTAAACAGGGTCAGGTTGCACATGCTTCTCAAGCTTACCTGGAATATTTACTTTGATGAACCACATCATGGGGCATAACAACTTAACAAACTTCAAAGAATCAAAACCTACAGTATCTTCTCTCCAACCACAGTGGGATTAAACTAGAAATCAATAACAGAAAGACAGCCGGAAAATCACAAAACACTTAGAGATTAAACAACCCACTTCTAATAACATATGGAGCAAAGAAGAAATCTCTAAGGAAGTTCTAAAATATTTTTAATTAAATGAAAATAAAAATACAACTTATCAAAATTTGTAAGATGCAGCAAAAGTACTGGTTAGAGGGAAATTTGTAGCAGTGAATCCATACATTAGAAAAGAAGAAAGATCTAAAGTCAATAATATAAGCACCAACCTTAAAAACTAGAAAAAGAAGAGCAATTAAACCCAGAATAAGCAGAAGAAAAGAATAAAATATTAGCAGAAATCAATGACATTGAAAACAGGATATCAATAGGAAAAAAAATCACAAAACCAAAAGCTGGTTCTTTGAAAATATTATTGAAACAGTAGGCCTGTAGCCAGGCTAACTAAGGGAAAAAAAGAAAAGACAAAATTACTAATATAAGAAATGAAAGAGGAATATGACTGCAGATTCCATGGACATTAAAAGGATAATAAAAGAATACCATGAACAGTCCTATGCCCATAAATTTTATAACCTAGAAAAAAATAGATCAATTCCTTGAAAGACACAATATGCCAAAACTTACACAAGAAGACACTGACCATCTGAATAGGCCTATATATATGAAATAAATTGAATCAATAATTAACAACCTTCCAAAGTGGAAAACACAGGGTCAAAATAGGTTCACTGGTGAATTCTACCCAGTATTTAAGGAAAGGATTGTACCAACTGCTGTGGGGTTTGCAGCTTTTCCCTTAGGTCCTTCTATATTGTTAACATTTCTAATTAATTGTGGGAAATGGATTGTAAAGTATATGTCTGAATCAACACTACTTTCTTGCTATATTGTCATCATTCCCCTGTTTGGGGGACTTTTCTAAAAAAAAATAAAACTTAAATGAGTTAACAGGAAAGTGTCCATTTCTTGATGCTTTTATCCTCTTGTGGTAAGCAGTCTCTTGATTTTTGACATTCTTGTTATCTGATTTACTCTTCTCAAACCATATCATAACTTAATGGAATAAAGAAATTAATTCATTTGAAATTCTTCACATTATTCACTAATAACTTCCAGTATAGAGGATTAGGTTAATTTTTTTCTTCCTTACTGTTCAGTTCATCAGATTTTGCAATCATTTGTGCACTTTTTTTGAAACACGACATCTCTCTTCAGATCATATTTTTTAAACATTTCAGTGACAGGATTACCATGTTTAAACTTTCCTATTAAATTTCAGAAGTATAAAATCTCTGCCAGCTTATTAGTATGCTTCTTTGTAAAGTATTCAATTAATCTTGACATTTTCTTTGCTTCATTTAAAAAAAACTCTTGTTGGCAGATTAAGCTAATATTAATAACTGCTTATTTTCAAGCAAAGTTATGAAACCCTATTTCAAATATTCAACTAACTATTGTCAACCTTTTTCTTCATTTTTGACATTTTGAAGCTGCCTTCTTATAAAACGGGCTACTAGTTACTTCTTTGGGTTCCCTGCAAGCATCTCGGTCCCTGACATACAAAAAAAAAAAACCCTCATAATCTTGCCCCTAAAATAAAGTCATCCTACAAATATTTATTGAACTCCTGTTACGTGGCAGGCACTGTGTTAGATGCAAGGGATACAGGGTGAACACAATCAGACAGACTTTTTCCTCAAGAAGTTGGAAGTCAAGTGAGAAAGGCACACAGATAAAATAAACACGATAACGAATTACAAACTGATATAAACTGTGTGAAGCAAAGGGACCAGCTCTTTGTTGTAAAGGAATTTACTTTTTATTGGAGGATCATGATTTCCTAAGAGTCATACTTGAAATAAGATCTAAGAGATTACAGTTAACTGAACAAATGGAAGACATACCATATGCAAAGATTCTGTGAATCTGAACAAAAGTACATGAGGGGCTTGGGTATAGAGATCCCCCAAAGCCATTTGTCTTTGTTGGGAGAACCATGAAAATCCTCCGGATTGTTCTAAGCACGTGATTGGAATACAATTTTACTTGGAAAATGTCACTCTGGGGAACAGTTTGGAAGGTGGATTAGAGGACATGAGAGAAAATCGAAGGGTGGTTTATGGCAGAAGCCCAGGTCAGAGATGATGGTATGTAGTAACAGTAGAGATGAAGGAAGCTTGAGAAAAGTGAGATTCTAGACTTCTTCTTCCTCCTTCCTATCCTGGCACTACATGAATCCAATTAACCAGGCACAAATCCACGAGATTCTTCTTCTTTACTCCCACATCTCAACAGTCCTTTAAAGAGTCCTTTCTGTCTCACATCCACAGGTTTCCTCTTCATTTTCGGGGTTGCTGCCCTACTTCATACCCTTAGAACGTCCCACCTAGATTATTCTCACAGCCTCCTATGAGTATTCCTGTGTACAATATCTGTCTCCTTCAATCCATTACCACCAGAGTAACTTGTCACAGCCATCTTTAGAAGCCTTTCTTGGCTTCACCATGGAGAATCTAAGTTCAAATTCCTTAACTCAGCAGACAGATTTATTATTATCTGGCCGCTGATTGATTACTCATTCCTCTGTCTGGAATTCTCTTTCTCTCTCTCTTTCTCTCCTTCATATTTTTATTCCTTACTACTACCTCTCTAAACAGAAATTTAAACATCACCCCTCAGACAGAAAGAAAGAGAATAACTTTTAGTTTTCTGTTTACCTAAGATAAAGGTAGATGAAAGCAAGTCTAGGATTTTCAACCAAAGTACTTGCAAGAAAACTACTCTTTGACCCACTCCTCAAATTTCTTCAAACTGTCTCTTATTGAATTGCACATATAGGCACATCTCTCCTGGGTAACACTGAGTCCATTAGAGGGCTTTTGAGGGCCGGTAAAGAAACCCCAGCCCAGACATGCTTACCAAGAAGAGTATTTATCATCTCACATAATGAGGAGTCCCAAGTTTGGGCAGACTTGGGGTTAGCTTGCTCTGACATCCCCACCACTGTAATCATTCCAAAGATGGATTCCTCTGTGGTCAAAGATGGCTTCCAGTAGCAGTTGGAACCATACACTTGCTAAATCGGCCCAGTGGGAGTGTGCAGTGGGTTTCTCCTAGTCGTGGTATAGTAACACTTCCTCTCATACAGGCTAAGAGCTAGGTCAGGAGTCTATACCTAGATGAATAACCACTGCCAGGGAGATGCTGGATTTTAATTGGTCAAAACTTCTGTTCCTTAACCAGTTCCTGAACCACTACAAAACGGAATAGAATCAACTTAGATCAGTGGTTCTCAAAGTGTTCTCAAATGCTGCCCTAGTTGCACCAGTGTCATCTGGGAACTTGCTTGAAATGCAAATTCTTGTGAACCAGAAACTCTGAAGGTAGGACCAGGTGATCTGTGATGTAAGAACCCCGCTAGGTGACTCTGACTGGTGCATTCTAAAATGAGAACCACTGGCTTAGACTAATCAGGACTCGTTATGGGGTTTCTCTGAATCACATGGACTATGTAGGGAAGAATGAACTGCTAAACTGCAGTTTGAGAAAAACAGAATGTGTGTTTATGTCTGAGGGTCTTCCCAATTTGAGACTACTCCTCTTCAGGTTAAATTGTACTTTAATTTTTTATTGTAATAAGAAACTTCTCAGGACACCAAGAGAAAGAGACCAGCCGGACATTTCTTACATGTTGGTTATTCCATATCAAATGCAATGCCTAACAATTACTGGATATTACCTACTCTTTTTTCAGCCTTCTGCCTGAAGGTGGGAATCTTTAATTATACTCCTGTAAACGGAGGGAGTGCTCCCATCCTATATAATACTTTCCTTAAGGCAGAAATGATGGGCTCAGAGAAATCCAGTTACAACCTTTGCCTTATTTGGAATACAAAAGGACAATTTTTTCCTGACCTATTTATAGAAAACTGAATATCAAATAGAGAAAAAAAGCAACAATACTAAGTAAAGGCAGTTTAAGCAAAGGATTGCAGATGCAATTATTTTCAGTTCAAGCAGCTGGTCATCTAAGAGGAGCACAATAACTTTGACATGTCTTGCCTAAGGAAAATAGTCATATTAATAATCCATGAGATAAAAGAATATTATGTAAGGACCTGGAATCTCAGACCTCTTCTAGAGATTCTTCTGTGGTCCTTTAATAGAAATGTGAAATAGAAGAGTCTGCTTTAATCTAGGGAGATGTTTAAAGTGAATGTGTCAGAAATAGGAAAATGATCTATTATAGTCATTTGTTTACGTTGCTGATATCTGTGTCACTTCCAGGAAGTGGTAACTCAGTTTCCAGCAGATCCTCATCCTTTGACTTAGCTGCAAATAGCAGTAACCAACTCCACTAGTTCAATCAGAAAAGGAATTTACTGGAGGTTGTTAGTTGACGTGTTGTACAACTCCTGAATGGCCAGAGAAAGCTTTGGGGGGTAGACAGCCAGGAACAATGCCCAAAATCATACCTCATAACTGGTTGCTTCTTCCTCCACCAGGCACAGACTCCATGGTTTGCAGCATGGATCCTGACACTCAAACTGCCACTGCTTCCATGAAGAAATGGGCCTTAGCTCTTACCACCCCTATCAAAGGGATTCAGCGAGGTGCCAATATTTGTGTCACTAGCTTCCAATTCAAAGTCTGTTGCCTGTGGTTTTAATGGGCTGAGTCTAAGTCACCTGCCAACCTGGCCACATCGGAAGGTGGGGAAATGAGCAACGGACATCTGGAGTGAGATGCGGAATTCATAAGGTGAACATACCCCTAACACAGAAAGTTGTTCAAAGGTGCTAAGAAATCCAAAAAGTTGGCAAATAGCTACTAGATCCAGACTTGTGTCCTTTATGCGTTTATACTTGGATTTCATTCAATTTTTTTTTTTTTTGAGACGGAGTCTAGCTCTGTCGCCCAGGCTGGAGTGCAGTGGCGCAAACTCGGCTCACTGCAAGCTCCGCCTCCCAGGTTCATGCCATTCTCCTGCCTCAGCCTCCCGAGTAGCTGGGACTACAGGCGCCCACCACCACGCCCGGCTGATTTTTTGTATTTTTAGTAGAGACGGGTTTTCACCGTGGTCTCGATCTCCTGACCTCGTGATCCGCCCGCCTCGGCCTCCCAAAGTGCTGGGATTACAAGACGTGAGGCACCGCGCCCGGCCTCATTCAATTTTTTGCAATAAAGTGTGAGTGGAGAAGGCATCAAGGGAAGCCGTTACACTTTATCCAGTTACACACTTGTGGAGGGTCTCTTATTGTCCTAGTGTAAATGACTAAGGCCACACCTTTACAGTGCCCTACCCGGATAGCTGCCTTTGCCACCCACTAGAACCGCAGAGATAACATAGGAAAATCTCCATTAAGCAACATTCTTATCAGAAATTTCTATTATTCATGGAATAATGGGTGATCAGTCCTAGAGAAACTGTTAGTATATCTTGTCCACATTCTTCAATTTAAATAACTAACTTTTAAAATAGCTTATTTTTATTTTATTTATTTTTATTTTTTAGAGACAGGGTCTCATCATGTAAATTTATTTTTAAAGAGGCATCTGTGATATAAAATATTGTGGTATTTAAAATTTGGAATTTATAATTAAAAAATTACGTGAAGCTGGAGTTTCCTAAGCAACTTATGTGTTTAAGGGAAGAAATACATTATTTTTAAACTAACCTTACTTAATGGGGACTGTTTTAACCTTAGGCAATGGAGATCAAAGAGTTCACTATCAGAGCTGGTTTCTACCAGCCGTGGGCACTACTGTTCCGAAAAACCACCTTTCTGAATACACTGTTTACTTCCATAGGCTGAAAATCTGTCGTATTTTTTATATCTTTTAGCACAAGATGATTTACTGCCATCTGCCTTAAACTTGTAACAAGTATAAATGTACAATGTCTGAAAGGTGAGTGGTACATTGTTGAGTTGTGCAGTACATGACAGCTCTGAAGACAAGGGATGCTTTACATGTCTGGGTTGTGCAGTGCAGGAGAGATGCACTCCCTCTCCACGGAAAATCTTTCCTAGAATATATTTTGTTATAAGTCATTAACTACATGGCTATATGCCATATTTGTTAGACTGCTGTAACAAAGGATCTTACAATTCAGTGGCTCAGAAAAGATAGATGTTATCTCTCTCCCATGTAACATTATCCAGAGCAGGAGTCAACAAAATTGTAACCTGTAAGCCAAATTTGGTGCCACCCTGTTTCTGTACAGTCCTCAGGGTGAGAATGGTTTTTACATATTGAAATGGTTGTAAAAACAAGGATGTACGACAGGGACAATACGTGACCTACAAAGCCTGAATTATTTATTATTTGGCCCTTTACAGAAAAAAACTTTGCTGACCTTCGAAGTTTGATTCCTCCAGGACAGGGAGGAATTTCTGTTTCACCAGGCCACACAGGGTCTCAGGTTCCTTCTATCATGTTGTTCTAGCATCAGCCAGATATTGTCCTCATCTGCATTGTGATGGTTGGTTCATCATCACCACTTCCATATCCCAGTTAGTGCAAAGGGGAAAGAGAAAGTAAAGGGCAAGCACTTCTCTTTTTTTGTTTAAAAAGTAGGACCAGAGATTGCGTAATTACTTCCACATAAATCTCATGGACAGAGCGATAGCACACAGTCATGGTCAACTACAAGATCAGGTGGGAAATGTAATCTCTGGCTGGGCAGCAAGTGCTCAGCTAGAATCCCCAGGCTTCTATTACTAAAAGGAAAAGGAGGATTGGTAGGAGAAATTAGACATCTTTGCCACATATACTAGAGTCCTCCTGATTCCTTGGTTGGTGCTGAGCTGTCTCAAACAATTAAAATCTCCTCCATCCATGTGGCAGGATAATTCTCACGGAGTGTTTTTTGTCTGTGGGGGATTCCCTGACAACAATCAACACAAATCTTTCCAAAAAGTAAAAGAAAGAAAAAAAGAAGATAGGAAAGGAAGGTCTAGGGAAAAGGAGGTAGGAATAGCCTGGGATATGGCTCTCTTCAGATAAGTGAAGTATTCGGTGACTGCAAAAGTAATTGTGGTTTTTGTATTGTTGGAATGTGCCATTTGATATTGGAATACATTCTTAAATAAATGTGGTTATGTTATACATCATTTTAATGGGTATTTGTCACTTTTTTTTGCTAATGACTTATTACTTGCTATTTACCTTATGTTTATTTTAGACTATGGAACTGATGTCAGATGAAAAGTAAATTCGGTTGATTTTCTTATTCGATTTCAAAATGGATTGTAAAGCAGCAGAGACAACTCACAACATCAACAATGCATTTGGCCCAGGAACTGCTAGCAAACATACAGTGCAGTGCTGGTTCAAGAAGTTTTGCAAAGGAGATGAGAGCCTTGAAGATGAGGAATGTAGTGGCCAGCTATCAGAAGTAGACAATGACAAATTGAGAGCAATCATGGAAGCCCATTCTCTTAATAACTACAGGAGAAGTTGCCGAAGAACTCAACATTGACCATTCTATGGTCGTTCGGCATTTGAAGCACGCTGGAAAGGTGAAAAAGCTCAAAAAGTGGGTGCCTTGTGAGCTTAGCAAAAATTAACAAATCATTGTTTTGAAGTGCTGTCTTCTTATTCTACACAACAACAATGAACCATTTTTCAATCAGATTGTGATGTGCATCGAAAAGTGGATTTTATATGACCACTGGTGATGACCAGCTCAGTACTGGACTGAGAAGAAGCTCCAAAGCACTTTCCAAAGCCAAACTTGCACCAAAAAAAGTCATGGTCACTTTTTGGTGGTCTGCTGCCAGTCTGATCCACTACAGCTTTCTGAATCCTGGTGAAACCATTCCATCTGATAAATATGCTCAGCAAATCAATGAGACACACTGAAAACTGTAGTGCCTGCAGCCGGCATTGGTCAACAGAAAAGGCCCAATTCTTCTCCACGACAATGCCCATCCATATATCACACAACCAATGCTTCAAAAGTTGAACAAATTGGGCTATGAAGTTTTGCCCCATCTGCCATATTCACCTGACCTCTCACCAACCAACTACCGCTCTTCAAGCATCTCGAAAAGTTTTTGCAGGGAAAACCCTTCCACAAGCAGCAGAATGTAGAAAATTCTTTCCAAGAGTTTGAAGAATCCCGAAGCACAGATTTTTATGCTACAGGAATAAACGAACTTCTCATGTGTTTATTGTAATGGTTCCTATTTTTTTGTAATTAATGTGTTTGAGTTTAGTTATCATGATTTAAAATTCATTGTCCAAAACTGCAATTACTTTTGCACCAACCTTGTTTTAGGATCCTTCAGTTAATAGCCAAAGCAGCTGAAAATTACTAACTTTCTCAGCCACTTCCTGTCTTTCCTGAGGAGGCTTGTAGAAGACACCCCTAGTTGCCTACCTCTGGTAGAGACTCCCAATTATAAAAACTGCCTAATAGTCCAGTCAGAGGATAACACACATCCTAATCAGGTTCCTGGTACATGCAGGTGAATGCAGTCCTAACCGAAATTAGGTTTCCTATCACTCAGTTTTTATTTGTTGCATATTTTTCAGTGATGGCGTTAAATTGTTGCCATGAGTGAGGAAGCATGAAAATGTATCTATGATCTCTGCACTCCAACTCTCCTGAATAAAACACTGGACAGGGCCAAAACCCTGAGGAGCCTGTCTAATAGGGTAGACAGAGACAGCAGCACTATGGATGCCTTTAAGGAACAGCGGCATCTCTGAATGCCTGCTGTCCTGAGAGGGTGTGCGAAGTCTTGCGGGCCCAGCAGAACTCTGAAGCAGCTGCATATACTGGAGAAGGCTGACACATACAGATTGGGAGACAAGAAAGAGCAGAAGGGATTTCCCGGGGCATCAATAGAGGACTGACAATTTGTTGTAAATTGCAGACCGATCAGAGTAGAATACTATGCTCCTAGCACCAGCCAGCCCCGACCACTCAGGGTAAATAGAACTATAAGTGTGGGGGTGGGGGGGAAGACAGCACAGCACACTTAAGAAGAACTGAGCAACTGGAGGATGAAGGACAACGCAGAATAATTCCTGGGGGCTCTGGAACATAGACCTGCCAGAGGAGAGCGAAGACAATGACTTTCATAAAGAATCATAGTACTTAATGAGATTCTATTCCAACATAGGAAGACTCCAGACAACTGAAAAGTATTGATTTCAAAGTGAAAACAACTACATAGATTAATGAGAAAAGAGGATGGTCATTTCTGAGAACTAACTTAAGAGTCTGGAAAAAATAAATGGAAGACATCTTCCATTTATTTTGAACACAGGTGACAAAAAGGGATAGTATATCTTTTAAAATTCAATTGCAAATACAGAAAACACTGCAGTTGGTTTAAGCAGGAAGGAATTTAGCATAGAAAAGTGGGTGCTTACAAAATATTTAGGACTAGAGGAGCAAGTGCTAGGTTATCTCCCAGAATTAGTCTATCAAATTAGTGCTTCCACCAGTCAGGATGACGGGGAACTAGGGAGCCACTGCCCCTCTCCCCTGTTGACTCCAAGACCAGCAGCTCAGCTGGGTGCCAACAAAAAGACCCGCTTATGCCTGATCTCACAGCACCCACAGCTAGTAACCAGCTGGGACACTGTCACTGTTGCCACTGGAAAAAAAAAAAAGCCTGTAAAATTGCGCTGCAGAAACACTGGTTCCTCCTCACTCTACCTCTTGCCTGAATTTATATGTTTGGTGGAAGGCAGGTTAAATGTGGGACACAGTTGGAAGCAAGTCTGGGAAATGTGGTCTTTGCTTTTCCTAAATCTAACATACACTAAAGCATATTAGAAGTGGTTTGGAATCATATTCTCTACCATATATGATATAGACAACATTTGTCACTATTTTTATCTGTTTGGCAGAAACCCCCACAACATGTAGTACTATATTTCATCAATTCTAGGATGCATACTATTTATTCACAATTAAACATCTCCAAACTTGGGAGATGGCATTTTAAATTCCCCTACTTCAGGGGATGTCCAGTCAAACAAAAGGGGAAAATAAATGCTCAATAAATGTTGGCTATTATTATCCTCATCAAGATATTAAAAAATAAAAGGAGAGATTAGTGGCAGCATATTTTAAAAGTGGTTAAGCATCTTGCTATTTAACTTAAAAACTGAAAGGATAGACAACTCTTATTTTTGTATACTGACGCTCACACACAGCAATCTGTACATTTTATAATTTGTAAATACAATACAAAATTCCAGCCATTAGCATCTGCACAGTAGTTGGCAAATAAAATCCCCAATAACAAAGCAGAAGAATTATCTATTATGAGGTTGAAAACAGAATTTGAAATCATTTTGAGTTAAGGTATGGGAAACACTTGGGAAAAGTAGCAAATAGCAGCATGAAACAAGATATTGCTTGTTGATGATTTTAATTTAAATTTTTATGAAAGACTCCACATCAACTGAGAGTTAAATAATAAATGTGAAGCTGTAAGGTAGAGCTGAATTAATATGAAAAATCTTGTAATTATTTCTTAGCAAACTTTTAGAGATTTGGATTTAAAACCAGAAACATATCTTCTAAAAAAAGAAGAGGCTATTCTGTGTGTATGGGGGAACAGAACATATATTTAATACACAGTGTGGAGTAATCCATTTTAAATCTTACAGGCACTATCTCAACTGCTTTAAGAGTTATTTTAACATTTCTGAATGGGATCTTTAGGGGTTAACATGTTTCAAAATGTAATTTTTTTAAAGAAGGCTGCCTCTTTTACATATGCTTTTGAATTTCTTCAATCAGATCCACACTAGCTGAGCCTCCAGCATTTTAAAAGGTAAAATTAGACACTGAACTTTGTATTTTGCACAACCAAACACAGTGCTCAGGACCTCTCATTGGATTTGCAGTTAAGTTTGGATATGTCTAATAGGTGCTAAAGCACCCTGGACTTTATCTGAGCACTTACCAAGCTATTATGTAAATGCTGGTTTTATTATCTCACTCTACTCAGAGGGCAAGTGTCATCTCGGTTTTGTTATTTTTTCACCCCCAATACTTGGCAATGTGTATGCTCATTAAACATCTATTGAATAAGTCAATTATCAAGCTAATGAATTATTGAGCTGTAAACCTGCAAAAAAGAAACACTGCAAGAGACTTGAAATTAAAATAGTCTTGAAGTCTCTTTCAGATCTTGGCATGGTACCTTCTTTCAGGGAAGGAGGAAAAATTACAAAGGAGCTGAGTTTTGTCCTTATAGGAAAATCTCTTCCTTAAAACTTTTTTCAAAGATTATTTTGCTATGAAACTTAGAACATATGCACATACATAAAAGAGGATAGAGAAATATACATACAGTTCAACATGTATGTAGAAGGTGAATGCTTAAGTTTAGGACCCAGGTCAAAAATTACAACATTGCTAGGACCCCAGAAGCACCCTCCCAACCCTCCCAACTCACCTGCTGTGACACCTGCCAGTCACAAGCCACCCCTTCTCTTCTCTAGAAAACAAGGTCACCACTGTCTTAATGTTTATAGGAATTTTTTTTGTTTTGTTTTATCATCCATGTTCAAATTCCTAAATTACACAGTTGAACTTAATTGCTTTAAGTAGTGAGTTTCCATGGTTCATCAAGATTAGGTTACTGTTTAAAATCCTCAAGAATATTTCACGTCTAGTAAGCAAAGAAAGGAAGGCATATGGATTGCCAGATAACCAAAAATATGTCTTTTCTTCCATCACACAAAAATAAAACAAAGTTTTACAAACACTGGCCATTCTCTTGCAATTTGGAAAAAGAACAATACAGTAAAAATAATTTCATAGCAACATGTTTATTTAAGCCCTAGCTAAGTTTTCATTTACAAGCAAATATTTTCAGGGGAAAAAATCACATAAGACAATATTTTCAAATGTTATACCATCTACATAAAAATTAAACTTGCAGAATTTACAAATTAATATTCTGAGCAGACAGAAATATTATACATCCTTTTGCAAAATCCAGTCAACAACTTTTAAAAATTCATACAGGCACAACACAAGATAGTCTCTCTATACAATCTACCTATTTACATAGCTTTTCCCACCACAGATGATAATAGCTCTCATCATAGCTACCAAGGTTCGCAAACATAGTATATTTAAAATATATTTAGCAGCATATAAAAAATTAGATAAAAGGGAAGGAAATACTACTATTAAATAAAAACAAAATTAAATGGTCATAATAGAAACAACTCCATAGGAAAATAGATCAAAATATATTTCTGTTAGGACATCAACAATGTTTCCCATCACAGAATATATGCACAGCACTGGAAAAAAAAAAAAAAATTAACAGCATTTTAGTCCTGAGCACAGAATATAGTAGAGCTGCAAAACTTTGGTCAATACAAGTAAATGCCAACATTTAACACAAACTGTCTACCCTTCTCTGTTAGTAGATTAAGATCAATTCCACCTTATGAAAATTCATCAATAATATTCTCATATCTTATTTTTGTCCATTACATTAAAAGAGCTTTGAAATTTGGGAATCCACTACAGACTGATATAAATACCTGACAAGCAAACCACAATTTGACTAACATTTTCAATATTTAGTTTAAATACATAAATCACTTGAATAAACTACATGAATGAGTTAATGGTGGGCTGCATCGTATTCCAGGTGTGTTTTCTGACTGTCACAAAAGCAGACGTCTTGGTAATTCAAATAATTTGAAAGTGTGTTTTATAGATAGGCACAAAAATTCAGCCACAATAAAAGTGTGAATAAAGCAATATATCAATTGTAGGATATATATCTATTGGTTGATCTTAAAACTAAGCACACAGGATAGTACACAATTTTATTAGAATACCATTTATAGTCAGCAGTTGAATTCAGATATATTTTCCAGTTAATCCGATTCATACGTTTTGCCTAGTAAGTACAGGACAACATTTTCCATAAAGAATACAGAGTATTATCACAGCATTCAGTTTACAACCTATCTTCATTCATGTTTAATTACTGGCAATATCTTCCCCCAGATCTCCTGTGTCAGAGATCTGACCATCTTGCAAATTGCGAGCCTTCCAAATTCTCACAGTTCGATCACTACAAAAAAATAAACAAAACATGGATATATGAACAAGGGCAGAAAGATAAAGAAATAGCTCTTATAATTACTTATCATGGAAATATTTTCTACATAGGTCTTCAAGAAATCCAAGTATAAATATGCATTGTCTCATTTATATAGCAAACACATACCTTAATAATAACAGCTTATATTATCAAGGGCTTACTGTGAGCCAGGCATTGTTACCATGTGCCCTTTACATATGTTAACACACATTTAATTCCCTTTAACTACCATCAGCAATAGCTACTGCTATAATCCTCTTTTTATTGAAGAGCTAATTGAGGCCCAAATCACATGTAAGTGACACAGCTGAGATGTGAATCCAGGCAGTCTGGCTCCGAGCCCTATCTCTTTAACACTGGGTCTGCAGTCATTATTCTAAAAGACAGTATGTGATTTGACACAGTGTCAGAAGGCTTCAGTCAAAACAGCCTGCAGGTCACAGTGAGGCTTCTAGGCAGGGAGAAAGCTGGGGCAGGGTTTCTAGGGAGTTAGCGAATCTGGCAAAGTCATGAAGAATTATCTCTGGGTAAACTCAGCAAATAAGCCCACAGAAAAATAAAGAGGCTATTGAGAAGTGAACTAATACTCCACTTAGCACAGAATGTAGAAGATTAAAAGCGATTCTGATGCCCTGTAAATATACACAGTTATTGTTCATTGAAATTGAAATTTTTTATAAAAAGGGAAGAAATAGTATTTCTGAGAAAACATGTTTCTGTTGCCCTCGCAGGTGAATACTGGGGACCAGTCATTAGATAATCACATTTCTTAACATATCTCTCATGGTTAAAGAAATGTTTCTTTTTCCAATTTCCTGATTAACCCAAAGTAAAAAAAATAAATAAAGAAGAGTTTCCATGGAATTTAATAGTTAAAATGCACTTCAGAGATTATGTATTCCATCCCAAGGGAAAAAAGGTTTAGTGGAGTGCCAATGTAACACAGCAAAGGCTTTCTAGAACCCAGGCTTTCTAGATTGTAATCAGTTATCTTCTCACCATCCCACACAGCACACATACATTGATAACAGCAATGGAATATTTTCATTTATCCACCCATTCAAGCATTGCATTTATTCATTCAACCATTTACTCAACAAATGTTTACTGAGAACCTGCTACATGCCAAGCATGCTTGGGATATGTTTTTTTTTTTTTTTTTTTTTTTTTTTGACAGAATCTCGCTCTGTTGCCAGGCTGGAATGCAGTGGCGCGATCTCGGCTCCTCTGCGCAAACTCTGCCTCCCAGGTTCAAGAGATTCTCCTGCCTCAGCCTCCCAAGCAGCTGGGAAAACAAGCGCATGCCACTATGCCTAGCTAATTTTTATTGCGTTTTTAGTAGAGATGGGGTTTCACCATGTTGGCCAGCCTCGATCTCTTGACCTCGTGATCTGCCTGCCTCGGCCTCCCAAAGTGCTGAGATAACAGGCGTGAGCCACTGCGTCCACCCTGGGATATGGTTTTTTTGTTTGTTTGTTAAAAAAAAAAAAAAAAAAAAAAGCATTCTAAGTGCTTGGGATACGCTTTTTTTTTTTTTTTTAAACAGAGTCTCACTCTGTGGCCCAGGCTGGAGTGCAGTGGCTAGATCTTGGCTCACTGCAAGCTCCGCCTCCCGGGTTCAGGGCATTCTCCTGCCTCAGCCTCCTGAGTAGCTGGGACTACAGGCGCCCACCACCATGGCTGGCTAATTTTTTTGTATTTTTAGTAGGGACAGGGTTTCACCGTGTTAGCCAGGATGGTCCCGATCTCCTGACCTCATGACCCGCCTGCCTCGGCCTCCCAAAGTGCTGGGATTACAGGCATGAGCCACCACGCCTGGCCAGGATATGCTGTTTTAAAAAAAACAAAAATAAAATTTAAAAGCTCAAATCTTTTGCCTTTGTAGATCATATACTTTAGCAAAAGGAGACAGACAATAAACCATAATAAATGATTAAACTATAGAGTATATTAGAAGGTGACTAGTGCCACAGGGGTGGAAAAAAAAGGAGAGCACAACCAAGGGGACCTGGAGTGCTAGGTGATAGAAGAGATTACAATTTTAAATAAAATGGCCAGGATACTCTTACTGAGGAAGAAAGACTTGCAGGGTCAGGACATTTGAGAGAAAAACATTCCAGGCCAAAAGAGCAGCTAGGGCAAATGCCCTCAGGCAGGAGTGGCTTTGGAATGTTCAAGGACCAGCAAAGAGGTTATTGGGGTTGCAAGAAAAGGACAAGCCAGAGGGTATCAGATGATAAGGCAAGGGCGATAATAGATGTTCAGAGGGCAAGATCAAGTATGGACTCAACTCTACATGAAATGGAGGACCACTGTAGGGTTTTGAATAGAGAAGGAATATCATCTAACATACTTTTAAAGGATTATTGTAGATTTTGTGTTGAGTGTAGACTACATATGAGCAAAGGACTTTGTTTAGAAGTCTATTATAGTAATTCAAGAGTTGACAGTGATTAAGTCTGGTGAAGAAGTAGAGGATGTGGTAAGAAGTGGTTAGATTCTAGATATAATTTAAAGGTAGAACTAACAGGACTTGATGATGGATTAGATATGGAGTACAAAAGAAGGGGAGGAATGAAAGGTTCTGTCCCAAGCACAGAAATGTCAAGGAAGCTATCAACTGTGATGGAGAAGGTTGTAGAATGAGCAGGTTTCTTGAAAAGATCAGGAGCAGCCATCCCATTACTGGGTATATACCCAAAGGACTATAAATCATGCTGCTATAAAGACACATGCACACGTATGTTTATTGCGGCACTATTCACAATACCAAAGACTTGGAACCAACCCAAATGTCCAACAATGATAGACTGGATTAAGAAAATGTCGCACATATACACCATGGAATACTATGCAGCCATAAAAAATGATGACTTCATGTCCTTTGTAGGGACATGGATGAAATTGGAAATCATCATTCTCAGTAAACTATTGCAAGAACAAAAAACCAAACACCGCATATTCTCACTCATAGGTGGGAAGTGAACAATGAGAACACATGGACACAGGAAGGGGAACATCACACTCTGGGGACTGTTGTGGGGTGGGGGGGTGGGGAGGGATAGCATTGGGAGATATACCTAATGCTAGATGACGAGTTAGTGAGTGCAGCGCACCAGCATGGCACATGTATACATATGTAACTAACCTGCACATTGTGCACATGTACCCTAAAACTTAAATTAAAAAAAAAAAGTTTAATAGAGCTAAACTAAAACAAATGAAACCAAAATCAAAATAAACAAGAAAACCCCACCCTTAGACACACATATACCATTTTATTCTAGTTTGTCATTATTGCCTGGGAGCAGGCAATAATAATAATTATTATTATTATTATTGATCAAAATAATAAAGTATTGTATTTTGGTATTATCAAAAAAAAAAAAGAAAAGAAAAGATCAGGAGCTCAATTTTGGATATGTTAAGTTTGAGATGATTAAATTTCCACTACTAGCCATGACAGAGTAACTCACACCAGGTTAACCCCCCTATTGTAAACAAAGAGAAAACTTGACAAAATTTATGGAGCAGCTGTTTTCAGACACTAGGCAAAAGGCAGTGCGAGGCTGTGATCCTGGAGAAAAGGGAAACAAAGAAGATGAACTGTGTGATAGCCCCAGCTATCTGCCTGGAAGCATTTTCCACACCACAGCAAAGGGAGAGGGAACCCAAGCAGAGAATCACAGGAGCACTTAGCTGAAGAGACAAAACAAAATCCAGAAAGTAGAGAAGAGGAGAGATCTATGCAGAGAAAAGAACTCTACAAATCTACATAGGGTCCCCTAAAGTCTTTGACTGAATGTTAAGTTGTACATGAGTAGAGTGCAACTATAAGGTCAGACAGCAAACAGCTACCAGGGAGCTATATATTGAAAACCTCCCAGAGTTCATACAGGGCTATGAGATGTTCAATTTCTGACCGGTATAGTAGAGAGATACCACTGAACACCTGGGACATTCAGTAGAACTGCAGGAAGAGTTAAACTTTCGTAGAAGAGCCAACTAACCCTAGAGTAATGGCTACTCTAGACCTACCTAACAAAGGTTAAAAACAAGTGTTAAAAACATAAAACTGAACCACAAGTAATCCAATTGCCTGATAAACAAAGCCTGATACTCTTTAAATGAATAAAAAGTACAACAAAATTGAGATACTCAAAATATTACAATGTCTAACATTTAATAAAATATTACTTGACATGAAAAGCAGCAGAAGAAAATGAGACCAGTAATTATGAGAAAAATCAATGATATCAGATCCAGAAATGACAGGTATGATGAAATTATCTATGTAAGTTATAAAGTGCCTCAGTTTTCCTACTTGTAAAATAGAGATTATAATAATAATACTTAACTTCTAGAGTTATTCTAAGGACTAAATGAGTTAATGTCTGCAAAGCAGTTAGAACAATGCCTCGCACATAGTAAGCACTATATAAATATTTATTAAATAAGTAAGTAGAACTAATTTTTTAAAATTCCTTCTGATTTTCTTGGTTATTTTCCTGTGATTTTGAAAATATGTAGTAGACATATTTGCATGTGATAGACACTGAGTAAGCTGAGAAAAAGTTTAGCTCTTCATCTGCACAGCAAAAGAAACTATCAATAGAGTAAACAGACAACCTACAGAATGGGAGAAAATATTTGCAAACTATGAATCTGACAAAGGTCTAATATCCAGCATCTCAGGAACTTAAACAAATTTATCAGGAAAAAAACGAAAAACCCATTTAAAAGTAGAAAAAGGTCATGAACAGACACTTTTCTAAGGAAGACATACATGCCGCTAACTAGAATATGAAAAAAAGCTCAACATTATTAGAGAAATGCAAATTAAAACCACAATGAAATACCATCTCACACCAGTCAAAATGGCTACTATTAAAAAGTCAAAAATAACACATGTCAACAAGGTTGTGGAAAAAGGGAACACTTATACACTGGTTAGTAGGAGTGTAAATCAGTTCAACCATTGTGGAAAGCAGTGTGGCAATTCCTCAAAGAGCTAAAAACAGAACTACCATTTGACTCAGCAATCTCATTACTGGGTGTATAGCAGAGGAATATAAATCATTCTACCATAAAGACACACGCACACAAATGTTCATAACAGCACTATTCACAATAGCAAAGACATGGAATCAACCTAAATGCCCATCAATGACAGATTGGATAAAGAAAATGTGGTACATATACATCATGGAATACCATGCAGCCATAAAAATAAATGAGATCATGTATTTTGTGGGAACATGGATGGAGCTGAGACTATTATCCTTAGCAAACAAATGCAGAAACAGAGAACCAAATATCACATGTTCTCACTTATAAATGGGAGCTAAATGATGAGAACTCATAGACACAAAAAAGGGAACAACAGACACTGGGGCCTATTTGAGGGTGGAGGGTGGGAGGAAGGAGAAGAGCAGAAAAAAGTAACTATTGGATACTAGGCTTAGTACATGGGTGATGAAATAATCTGAACAACAAACACTGGTGACACAAGTTTACCCATATAAAAAACCAGCACATGTACCCCTGAACCTAAAATAAAAGTAAAAAAAAAGAAAAATTTTAGCTCTTCAAAACTGAGACCATATCCTGGAAGGTAAGTAAGTACAATTACATTACATGTCAATCCCCAGGCCTCACTGATACACAATACTAAGTCTTGTATTGGGTGTCCCACAGCCAATGTGGGATATATCCAGTAAATTTTCAAGGACACAATAAGTTTCCAAGGAAGTAAGCAAAAGCGGTGACTTTTCAGAAAGTAATGCATCTTGGAAATAGCATCAATGAAGCATCAAAGGTAAGCACGTTAGAAAAACAAAATAAATCGGCTCTGATGCAACTTAAAGATGAAAGTAAATCTAAATGAAAGGAGAAAGTCAATGGAAACTGCACAAATAAAAATAAATGACACAGAAATAAAGTAAAGGCTTCAAAATAAAATCAGGGTGTTCATGCATTTGAGATACACTGAATAAAGGCAGTGCTCAAATTAAATAGATATAAATGGTACACAAACAAAATTGGGAGGTGTTTTAGATAGTCATAAGAAATTACATTTTATTTGAATGAGACCTACACTTCACATTATATAATACATACACTTTCCTTTTCAAAGTACATATATATATGTACTATATATAATGTCATTTATATATATAAACTGTCATTTTACAGTCACATCTTTCTACCTCCTTCAAGTATCTTAAATGTCACTTTCTCCATGAGGCCTTCGCTGACCACCCTATTTTGTAACCCTGCCCTAGGAAAATCCCATCCCCTTTCTCTCTTTTCTTTTTCACCATTGCACTTGTCACCATCTAACACATTCTACCTAATGTATTTTCCATTTCTTCTCATAAGAATATAGACTGGGTTTGGAATCTGTTTTGCTCACTGCTGTATTCCCAGGAGTCTGGAACAATTCCCAGCACTTAGAAGATTCATTGTGAATGAACAAATGAGTCAATCAATCCAGCCATCCACAAGCGGGAGGAAGCAGATGTTATTACTATGTACTTATACTTTAAAGGGAGGAGGAAGCACAGAGAGTTTTTAAATAATTTGTTCCAAATATGAAGAATGGCAAATTTGTTGCCTTTCTGAAAATAAAAATCATTAGAAATTAGTCATTATTTTCTAAAAGTCAAAATCATCAAGGAAACATGTGACAGCACACTTCCTAAAATAAGCAGAGTGCTATACAGGAGTAACAGTATTGTCATGTAACCTGGGGTGCCTAAATTCAGTGCCCACATGTACATCAGAAAATATGAATAAGACATCTTAAAACAGACATTAGAATGATTATAAGAAGGATTTTGTATATTCAACGTTTCTAGATATTTACAACATATTTATTAAATCTGAACAGAAGCAACCAATATAGAGAAAAATCATATAAGAAAACTTACTCAGCTGCAGTAAAAATGTGGGTGGAATTAACACATATGGCATTGATAGGACTATCATGACCCTTCATCTCTCCCACTGGCATAAAAGTATCCATGTTCCAGACTTTCAAAATGCCCCCTCTGCAGCCACTGAGCAAAACTGGGTGGTCTGGCACCACTCCCAGGGCACAGACCCAATCCTTATGTGCATTTGGAACTTGCTAAAAGAAAAAAAGTGAAATCAGCAGCTTAAGGAGAGCTTCCAAACTGACATTTTCACATGAAAATAAACTGAAAAACATTTTATTGCCAAAACTTGATATTTGGAATTGGCTGGAGAAAGTTTATTTTCTATGCAATCACTCTTAGTGATTTAAAGAAATAAACGGATAATTTGCTTCCCAACTTGCCTCACTAATTTTCATCACTGTTATCAGCATATAAGGGCTATAATCTACAGAATGTAAAAGACCCTGAAAATACATAGAACTTTCGAGCATCACATCCTCTTCATGGGCAGTAAATATATTACCTTTCTCCAAAATGTATTAAATAAAGCAAGTTTGAAAACTGCAACCTGGTATGTGGACTATAAGGACTGGCTCATAATACCACCAGTTTAAACTTTCAATAGAGAATATAGAGGCCTGAAGATTTATGCAGAAGACCAGAGATAATCTATATATTTCATGATGAGTAAACAGTAATTACAAGATCAGACTATATGACTATACTTCATGCATAAGTGTATTTATATGCACAATATAAAATTATAATCATGAATGTATGTTTATTTTTAAAAAGCTTTTGAATGCAACACTGTATATGCATCTATTGCCAAGATTTTTCTATTAATATTTATGTTTCTTGTTTGTTTGGTTTTCATCTGCTGATTACAAGCAGGAAAGTGGAAGCAACTACGACATATAAATACCCACACATATATATAAGGAAAAACTTGAAAAGAATTTCATCTGTTAACTAATTTCTTTTCCAGGGAATTAGGAAAAGACAGCAATATTTGAATTTATTGACACATCACTTCAACCCAACTATCATTTTGTAGGAAATGAGAGAACCACCACTCTTAGATGCATGAAAATGCTCTTACAGATAAGGAATTATTTATATTACTCTTGACTTTAGCTAAACTTGGAACTCTTTGGAATAGGTGTACATAAACAAAAGCAAAACAAAATGAGAAACTGCAACTGCTCTACTCCCAGGCTGATTTTATTTAATAAACACATGCATGGAGCAACCCTAGATCTTTCAACTCTTATCAGCATCTCTTCTTCTCTTATCTAGCGGGTATTATTCAATGTTGACTGTTTCCCTTCTCCCAGTGAAGAACTCTGGGGAGGATGAAACATTCTTTAAGAAAAAGGCCTGATTAATATTATCTGTAAATGATAAAAATCTACATAGAAGCTCTTCAAGTTCTTCTACAGGCTACAGGATTGTGTTGAAATGCCCACTCTATACCATGAAAAGGTTCTGCATTACCTGAAGAAGGTCTTTTTGAGTTAAGTCCCATTTCTTGATTCCATTATCTCTAGACCCACTAAATAGGTTATCCCCTTGAATGGTTAGTGCTTCTATGCCATCATAATGAGGGGGTTCAAAATTGTGGGTGGGACTCACAGTCCCAAGAGCTCCTTCTGTAACATCAAACATCTAAAAAGGTAGAAACAAAGCAGTTATCCTATTTAACTTGCAAATAAACACCAATATTTGTACAGTCCTAGAAACACATACACATGTATGTTAATCAGACATGACTTGTTTTGTTATCTATTGTTTCTGGTTTGTTAAATGTTTTCTTTTTATTTATTTTATTTATTATTTTGAGATAAGGTCTCACTATGTTTCCCAGGCTGGAGTGCAGTGCTTATTTACAGGTGCAATCATACTGCACAGCTGCCTTAACTGCAGGCTCAAGCGATCCTCTTACCTCAACCTCCCGAGTAGCTGGGATTACAGGCATGCATGATGGCACCAGCTCTTAATTATTGTTTTGTTTTGTTATTTGTTGTTATGTATGTTTTACTAAGTTAATTAAATTAACCTGGCATGAATGACAACTGAAGATAAACCTGTGCCCTTTTTTTCACACTACTTTTGCTTGCATGTTACATGCTTTGTGTCTGTAGGCTTTTAAGAAAGGAAACCAGATTTTTTTCATGTATAAGTGCACAAATGATATGTTCAATAATAAAAATATTACATATCAATCCAGTTGAAATTCAAATAAACAATATGGTTATTATTTAATGACTATTAGGTAACTCTGCAGTCCCGGAGGTCATCTCCAATTCCCCAAAGCTGCTGTTCAAAATCGTTTCACTTTCCTCAGTTGCACTCATCTCTCTTAGCCCGTAACCTTGTGCTTTCCTGAAAAGGCTAGTGTCATAAAAAATAAACTTTTTAGACACTCTTCTCCATTCTAAAAGTTTCTTTTTATCTTCAAACTTCTTTTTACCCTTCCCTTCTTTATCAGAGGCTAAAGTATACTTACTTATTTTCAATGTTCACATCTATGATCTAACTCCTCCTACCACCTTCATCAATTGCCACCACTTCAGTTTTCTCCTCACTCATTCCCTCTCCACTAAGCCCAGCTCCTAAGTACATAAATACGTTCATGTCTCTAGGGTATAGAATCCTCTTTTCTTAACCATTCTAATTTCAAGTCATTAACCCATCTCTCATTTCTTAATCAAAGTTTCTAGAATGAGTACTTACATTCTTCCTACCTCTCTTTCTTACCTTCTTCCTATTGATTCTCACAGATATTCCCCAAGGCTGAGTTCCCAGTCAACTTCTCTCTACCTTGGCCACATCATCAACTCTTTACTCTTTGAACATCTGGTTCTCTTTGAATGGCTCCCCAAACCTACATCTCTAGTCACAACTTATTTTAAACTCTAGACTTGAATTTCTAATGGCCTTCTGGCCACGTGAATGTCCTTTATTAGTATTTCATTTAACATTTAAATTTAACATTTTTAGAATCAAACTATGCATCTTTCCTTACCTTATCTGTTAATTTCATAAAATTCTGAAGATCATAATATTTTCGGGATAAAAGATCATGACAATAAGACTCATGTATGAGTTGGAAGACTGAGTTAAAAGAGCTTTAAAATGTTTTCCAACCTTTCTTCTATGAAAAGTGAGAATGCATGATTGAACAATAAGACAACAAAACCACTAACTATGAATGAGGAAAAGATTAAAAAGAAAAAGCAAAGACTAGAAAGGAAAAAAGAAAATAAGAGAAAGAGGTCCTAGATGAATCTGAATACTTCAAAATTATCATTTAATAGACAAATATAATTCAGAAAGTCTCTTATACATACTTTGATGTAATGATCCTTGGAGCCAGTGATGATTAGATCTTGTCCACTGGAAATCTGATCCACAGTAAGGCACATAACAGGGCCTAGGTGTCCTGTTAACTTTCCTGTAGACTGAAACCTTTAAAAATAAAGAAAAATAGTTTTGTTTAAAATTATTTCTTAGTATGATGGGACTAAGCCTCAACATAAACGATCTACATTCTTTCATAAAATAATTCACTAACTTTTTTTTTTCTTTGTATATGTTTAGAGATGGGATCTTGGGCCGGGTGCAGCGGCTAATGCCTGTAATCCCAGCACTTTGGGAGACCGAGGTGGACGTATCACCTGAGGCCAGGAGTTTGAGACCAGCCTGGCCAACATGGTGAAACCCCGTCTCTACTAAAAATATAAAAATTAGCCGGATGTGGTGGTGGGTGCCTGTACTCCCAGCTACTCAGGAGGCTGAGGCAGGAGAATCGCTTGAATCTGGGGGTGGGAGGCTGCAGCAAGCCGAGATTGAGCCACTGCACTCCGGCCTGGGCAACAGAGCGAGAATCCGACTCAAGAAAAAAAAAAAAAAAAAAAAACAGAGATGGGGTTCCATTATGTTGCCAGGCTGAAGTGCGGTGGCTATTCACAGGCATGATCATGGCACACTGCAGTCTCAATCTCCTGGC
Source organism: Homo sapiens (assembly GCF_000001405.40). NCBI lineage: Eukaryota > Metazoa > Chordata > Mammalia > Primates > Hominidae > Homo > Homo sapiens. Next base: position 39,305,480 of record NC_000012.12, read on the forward strand.
CTCAAGCAATCCTCCCACCTCAACTTCCCCAGTAGCTGGGACTTATAGGTGTGCATCACCAGCTTTTTTCATTTTAGCTCCACATCTACGAAACTCTATTCAAGTTAGTCAAAACTAATATAATCTATGATGCAAACGGGAGAGTCATAAATAAGTTATTCCAAAGCTGACTAATGTCATTTAGGTAAGCAAAAAAGCAGCAGAAGTGCAAAAAATGATTAATTTTAACTCCAACCTAAATCCACCTAAACATCAATCTGCTAAATGTCTGAATATGTGATAGGCATAGGACTGATTAGGTCCAATTTGAATTTCAAATAAAATGACGATATCACTGATGTAATTACAAAATCAGTAACAATACTGAGAAAGTAAAATTATTTTATTACACACACATTTTCACAAATACACATAAGTGCATGTACATCATATATACACATATATGCACATATATACATACATATATCTATGTACACACATATCTGTGTGGATGTGTACATCAGACAATAAGTGGTCCATTTCATCAATTATTATAAAGACATGAAAATGACCAGCTATGCGGCTGGTAGAAAACTGTGTGATGTCAGTTGGCAGAGAGTAACAATGAACCTTCGTTTCACAGTCCTACCTCAAATCAAGCTGCTGGAATAAAGACATGTATCTAGCTTCTAAGATATTACAGTTTCTTGAAAACTATTCTCTTAGTTCCTTTGTTAAGATCTACACTTAATTAGTAGCATCTTGCTGAAATCAACCAGGTCTCCAAGAGTCAAACCTATCAGCAAATTAAAAAGTGCAAAAGATTTTCAAAAGCTGGTATCTTTTCTGCCTTGTGTCATGATTTTGACTATTTCTTCTATGGTGCTCTTACTATGAGTCAGATTAAATATCTTCAAGAATAAACCAAGTCCTCACCTCTTTTCTCATTTTCTTAAAAAAGTACTGTTTTTAATTTTCTACATTTTATTTATAATACAGTAGTTAGGACCCTGGTTTTTCTCTTATCTATTTATCTATAAATTATGTTTATTATATTTTGCCAGTCATACTTTAACATGCTTTAAATGTTATAAATTATAACACTAGTTTTTCCCAATGTTTTTCAAAAAACCATCCATTTGATTTACCACTGGCAAATCCCTTCTGGATGAGAGGCACCCCATATTACCTGAATTGGAAATGTTACTAAGAATCCTGTAATAGCCTGTTTAATGGCCTTTATTCTCCATTATAAGATGAGCTCTAAGAAGGTAGATCTAGGTTGGGCACAGTGGCTCCTGCCTATAATCCGAGCACTTTGGGAGGCTTAGGTGGCAAGAGCATTTGAGCCCAGGAGTTCAAGACCAGCAACATTTGTCTTGCTCTGTCTTTATTCCTAGTACTCACCACACTGTTGGTGCAATGCCTGACATATTTGGGTTGAATAAATATTTGTTAACTAATAAGTGAATGTTTCCTTGCTGCCAAAATTTTAAGAACTAGAAAACAAGCTAACATAAACACTCAACTAAAGGAAAAGAGTTCACACTTCATAGGAAATAAAAATTGAATGAAAGATGTAATGCCTTAAATTTTAATTTATCATTTTTTTCTTTTTAACTACTTTATCTTCTTAATACTTCATAGTTTACATATATTTTATTTTATATTCACAAAAATTCTGAGGACTTTATGCCCAAAGTTGTTAATTTTATAAATTAAAAAATTTAAGATATAAGATGTTTAAACGATGTTGCAAGAAATAACTCTATCAAGAGTGCTGGTGAAACTAGGATGAGAATCTTGACCTCTTCCTAGTAAACAACATGACTTGTAGGCAAATATTAAGAAATTGTAATGTTTCAATTTTATTTTTCCCCCATATACTTATTTTCCCCAGCAACGGAGATTAAAAAAAAGAGAAAATTGTCAGTTTGTTAATAAGGACACAAGAGACATTTAGAGGTACTATGCTGAATAAAAAAGCCTATGATTTTACATTAACTTCTGGGGTCATAAAAATTGGATTTCACATGCACTAATGTTATTAATGTCTGAAGTTGTATTTGCCATAGGCAAGAGGTATGTTTTCTTAAAAATATCTACCTTTTAAGATCCCACATCCTGACAGCATTTCCAGAAGCAGCATAGAGGAAGGTGCCAGTTGGGTTTAGGGCAATTTGATTGATCTGGTTCTCTCCAGAAGGAATAGCTACTGTTCGACTGGTACTTGCAGAACAAGCATCTCCAAGAGTAACTTGACCTGAAGACCTTAAGAGATACAAACAAAGCAAAAAAGTCACACTTCTGGACTTGGGTTTGGCTTAGAATTCCTTGAATTCCCAGGAAACTGGCTGTAGGCAACAACAAGAACAGTGTCCTTTTGTCACTATATGTATACTACCTAGCACAGCACCTAACACAGAGTTGGTGCATATAAATAATTATTTGGTAAGTGAAGAGATGAATAAATAAAATAAGATTATGAATGAATAAAATAAGATTACATGGTTTAAAACTCTTACTTGGTATACTAGTAATTCCAGGCCCTGAGTTAGGAAGGGCTAAAACATCTTTCAGAAAAGATTAGATTTTTTTTTAATGTTAAACATAAAAAAATCAACAAATGCCTGGGTGTAGTGGCTCACTCCTGTAATCCCAGCACTTTGGAGGCTGAGGTGGGTGGATCACCTGAGGTCAGGAGTTTGAGTCCAGCCTGGCCAACATGGTGAAGTCCCATCTCTACTAAAAACACTAAAATACTACTAAAAATACAAAAATTAGCTGGGGGTGGTGGTGCGTGCCTGTAATCCCAGCTACTCGGGAGGCTGAGGCAGGAGAATCACTTGAACCTGGGAGGTGCGGATGGCAGTGAGCCGAGATTGCACCACTGCACTCCACCCTGGAAGACAGAGCAAGACTCCGTCTCAAAAAAAAAAAAAATCAACAAATGATACGTTGCCACAAAAGTAATTTATTTTCCTACAGCTTCCAGAAGCACCACCCCACTCCACCCAAGGGCCAGGCTTACCAATACTCTTTTGTGTATAAGAATTGCCTTTCTGGATTAAAGACAACGGAGACCTTTTGAATTATTTGCAGTTTTCATTTACTTTAACCCAATCATAGATGGAGTATCTAAGGCCTTAAACATAACGTATGCCTATTTCTTCAGATAAATTCTAGGTGAAATTTTTTTTAAATTTTGAAACATTTTCTTAGCTAACTTCTAAAATATTAAGCCATAATCAATCTTTTCAAATTTAACTTCAGTGATTCAATTGAATTGGTAAATTCTAACATAAGATATATTATATCTTAATACACGATATAATAGTATTATTTTTCTACAAGAGTTTCAAGACTTGTATTCAGTAAAAAGAATAATAAAGTAGTTCTCAAATTACAAAACAGCACTTAAAAACAGTCTCTACTATCTCTACAAATTAGTAAAAATTAACCTTTCTTATGCTCCCTTCTCTCATTTAAATGACTACCGAGTTTACGTCAATTTTGATTATTAAAAAATTCATCAATATCACAGCAAAAAGAATCACTTGTTCTACACTTTTAAAGACAAATACAATAATGAGCACAGAAAAAACAAATTAATCCTCCAATTAACCAAAATAACCTGCAGTTATGAAATTTGTACTCACACCAAAGCAGTCTCAGTCCTTAAAAAACACTCTCAGCTTTTCAATCTCTGTTAATTAAAAGTTATAAGTACTTCTTCACTGCCTACCATGGTGATTTCAGCCATTTCCCAAGGAATGGTAGTTATTTGAAGCAAGTAATATAAAACATTGAACTCTATCAAGTAAGAAATAGTATGAAAATGTAATACCTTATATTTGGGAGGGAGAAAATATGAAATGTATACTTAGTCACCGATCAAATATGGCTTATCCCTTTCTGTTTAATACCAGGCTCTTATATTTCATTTGTCAAATTTTCCCCCCTCTTATCTGTGCTTTTCTTTGTGAACACTTTAATATCCTCTGGGAAGTGGACAGGTATACAAAAATTAAAATGCATTTATAGTCCTCTCTTTTCTTATATTTGTAAAAAAAAAAAAAAAAGAAGAGCTATTCCTCCTTTATGCTATATGTCTTCAAGTTACTTACGTTAGTGTTCGAATGCACTTTGCTGAATCTCTGATATCCCACACCTTAATATAAGATGTTGATACAGTGAAGACCAAACTGGTATAATTACAGTATTTTACAGACACGACATTGTTGGGATGACCCCCCAGTGACATTATTTCCTGCCCAGTCACCAGATTCCATACTTTACAAGTACGATCTAAAACAAACACATAAAAAAAAGAAAACACCATTAATATGAACTACTTTAGGTTCTCTTAACAATAAAAATTATTTAAATAATTTCTCTTCTATGGGAAGGAAATGAAAATAGTAATTAACATACCACAAGGATCCTAACTTCATCCTTGACCCTCTGCAACAGGCTCAAAGACAAGGTATGTGTAAAGGATCAGATAAAAGTCTGGGATGTCTGGTGTATGTATCATGTGGTATTGAAAAAATATTTATGAAAATTTTTGAAATGGTCATATCAAGAGTCTTGCTTCAAATTGCCACTGAATTTAGAATGGCAGTCTCAGATCAGCCTCTTCAAAACATTCTTCTCTGATCATATTCCTACCTCCTCACAACATTCTCAACACTAGTAAATATACACACATTTTTCCCCCCAAGGGTCAATGATTGATAAATTATATTTTTATTTTTGACCCAAAAATATAATCACAGAACTATTCTTTTTCTTTTTCTGATATGTTGAATATCTAATTATACTGGAGAGAAATATTTAATTTGAATCATTAGAAAAACACAGTATTTTCAAAGAACATATGTTTTTTTAATTGGAGAATTTCTTTACTTTTACTCTCAATTCATAAGTTCTAGCTGGGATCTTATACTTCCCTCACAGACAATGAGCAATAAATATTTGCTGATTAAAGTGAATCTTGGACTATCCCTAAATGCTAAAAACTTTCACTAGCTCCCTGAATTCCTGTACATGCTTGCTTTTCACCTTTCTAGCCTCAATGACCAGCACTTCTCTTATACATATTCCATTTTTCAACCCAAGTAGAATTAGTTTCCAAACATGCTCCACTTTTATCTTCATGTCTCTGCTTATGTTATTCTGTAATCTTGATTATTCATTCCTACCTGTAAATATCCAAACCATCCTATACGGTACTTCCTAAATGACTCCTTGTCAAAGCCTTCCTTGTTTCTCATAGCTGGGCATAATTCCTCTCTTTTCCAGAACCCCAAAACTCTTAGTCTATAACTCTTCAAAGCATTTATAGCTGGTTTCCAGTTACTTGCAATTGTACAAAAGGGGTTAAGAGTGCAGGATTGAAGAAGGGTATACCTAGGTTTCTAATCCTTGTTCTTCCACTTACTAGCTAAATTTACCTGAGAAAAGTATTTATTCACTTGAATCCTGAGTTTCTTTGTTTACAAAATGAGGATGCAACATGTATCTCATTGAGATTGTTGTGAGAATTAGGTGAGATATATTAGTATACTGCCTAGCATAGCCCCTGATATGTAGTAAGTGTTGCAGAAATAGTGGTTGCTATGCATCTTATTCTCTTTCCCATATTGTATATTTAAATAGCCTTTTATAGATTTTTATATAACCTGCATTTCAAAATTCAGGACTCTACATGCAGTACATGCCCAAATACTGTAGAGAGATGTATTCTGTCACCATTGTATTCACAAAACATCAACAGAGGTTTTACTTGCTGCTCAACTATGCAATAATTTTATATATTTTACATTCAGGGGTTGAACCAGATTATCCGATTCTTTCTGGTCTTAAATAGTTTGACAGTTTTCTAGAATATGTTAAAAATGTAATTTTTTTTAAAAAAAAAGCTATTAAATATCTGCATTAGATAACTACTAGCACCTTTTGATCCAGTGAAGAGGAGATCATCAGTAGAATCCACACAGAGCACAGCTTTTGTATGCCCTTCAGCTATGTGAATACACTGAAGTGGAAAAGCTCTGATTCCTTTTGAAGCAGGAAATGGGTTGATTATGCCCCTAAGGTGGGGAAAAAACAAACAAACCAAGACTCACTTCAGTATCATGAGACTATATCATGAGACTAGTTTTGTTTTTTTCCCCTAACTTTAAGAAGTCTTTATAAGTAATTAGTAATAAAATCCAGACTGCTCTCTTTTAAGCAAAAGGACAAAGTGTGAAATAATAATAGTGATGGAGTATATCAACTAATCAGGCATCTGCTAACAGCTGCATTCTGCAAAGAGCAAAGACTATAATACATCTAGATTTTCTTATTAATAATTTCATCTCTCCAAGGTTTAACGAAGCCACAATGGGAATTATTTGAGTGTACTGAATTCTGACAAATAAGGAAGGAGCAGAAATGACAAATAACAGGAAAACATAATTCTATGTCAAACTGGTGTGTAAAGGAACATGCTGGAGAAAGTGTAATATATATGCCACCTAAAATACTAAGAAAGCAGATTTCAAACAAAAATTGAAGATAGGAATAATTGAATGAAAAGAAATTCTAAAGGGACAATGGGTTAAAAAGATCAAAAACTTAAAGAACTGACAATCTCAAAGAAAATTTTAAAAGAATGAGAATTTAAAATAACAGTGAATGGATAAAGAAAATGTACATACACACAATGGAGTACTATTTAGCCATAAAAAAAGAAAGAGATCATATCATTTGCAACAACATAGATAGAACTGGAGATCATTATGTTAAGTAAAATAAGCCAGGCACAGAAAGAGAAACATTGGATATTCTCACTTATTTATGGGATCTAAAAATCAAACAACTGAACTCATGGACATAGAGAGTAGAAGGACGGTTACCAGAGGCTAGGTAGGGCAGTGGGGGTTGGGAGAGGTGGGGATGTTTAATGGGTACAAAAATAATAGAAAGAATAAAGTAAGACCTACTATTTGATAGCCCAACAGGGTGACTATAGTTGATAATAATTGTACATTTTAAAACTACTAAAAGAGTATAATTGGATTGTTTGCAACACAAAGGATAATTGCTTGAGGGGATGGCTACCCCATTCTCCATGATATGATTATTGTGCATTGCATGCCTGTATCCAAACATCTCATGTACTCCATAAATATATATCTACTATGTACCTGCAAAAATTTAAAATAAAAAAATTAAAAACAATGAAGCTCTTTAGGGAGCTTTCTCATAAATTTGATATTTTTGTAGTTTCTGCTTTATGGCACTGGGCTATGTACTATGGAAATATAAAGATTATCAAAACATTGTCCCTCTCCCAAAGGAATTTAAGATAGGGTCTGAATTAAAATAATGGTGTTGGGGAGGCTAAAGATGATAATGAATTAAGACATGACAAACAGTCAAATGTACCTTCACTCAAAGCATTATATGCTTCAAATTATGTTGAATTATGTCCATTATGTAAGACAAATGGCATATTAGGACAAATATAAGGATAAAGGAAAACTGTTTTGTTTCCATCTTCTTAATGAAAGAGAATAATCTTCGAGATGCAAGAGGGCAGAAATGATTAAGAAACGTGAGCCCCAGATAAGTTAGAGCTGACAATGGAGATTTATTCAATAAATTCAAGTATTTCTGTTTTTAAATCATTATATCATAGGGTTTTGAAAGTATATGCCATTGTGTAAGCAAAATCCTTGTCAGTGCTCTAAGAAATCACAAAGATCAAAAAAAGGGACAAAACATGTAGACCTGATCTTCCAAAATGCAGGAAAAACGTGGAATTCAGAAACTCAACTTCTCGTTGAGTCTCAAAGAGGAATACATTAAGCAAATCATTATCCACTTAAAAATAAATGTTCACCAACAAAAGATAACATGGGCTTATCAATTTCATGGGGAAAGTTTTTTGTAGGGTTAATGGATACCAATTTAAGGGAATGTCACATTCACAATATATGTTGACTCTAATAAAGCCCATACAATAAGACTTTTAAATGATATCCTTGTGGACAATGTGAATAAGTATGGAACTGTTAGAGTAAAGTATTTCCACAGGTAGTTGAAGAGTCATACCTAACGAGTCAAGGTCACTGCTGATCTGGAAGATCTTTGGTATCTAGTCAATCTTTACCTAGCCCTAGGGAGAAGTGGCATGCTTATTAAATGGATATATTAAAGAACTGGACATTATATTGCCTGAAAAAAATCACTGAAACAAAATTCATTTATTTTATATGCCGACTCACTATCAATGATTTGTTTAATAGAAATAAATATTTCAGGAGAAAGACAGCGATAGACTTACTGCATTCTATGTAGGCCATATATGGAATGAGGTGTAGTTTTAGATGTCCCATTTTAAGAAGAACATTGAAAAATTGGAGCCTTTACAAAACAGTAGAAGCAGAATGAAGGATCTGTAGACTATATTACATAAGGAACAGATGATGAAACTATTGAGCTGATAAAAGAACATTTACCGGAGAGAGGATACAACAGCATAATTTAAAAGGGCTGAATATATGAAGAGCTGTCATATATAAACAAAAAGATATATAAAATTAATTCTGGTAAGGGAAAAAAAGGGCTGATGAAGACTAACGAATGGAAATTTAAAGGAGGTAAATTTAGAGTTGGGGAGAAAAAAACATTTATTTTTAGAGTCTGGTTATAATGATCACAAAAGTGATAGGAGTTTCTTATCCCTATAAATGATATAAGGAATTATTATCTCTGGATATATAATTATGAAATGTGATGCCATGATTTGCATACATGTGTCAATTTGAGATTACTGAAACTAATGCTCAGTAATTTGTAATCTAACAATTTAACCAGATTAAAATTGAAATTGGAGCAAAACCCGCTCAAAAGTCTGAATCTGCCATTTGGAAATTTTGATGTCTTAAGGTTCATAGATATGAACTGAAGCCATCAAATTTACACATATTTCTTCAAATATTGAAAAGGTATGATTCTACAGAATAGTAGGTTGCTACTGTTAATTCTCAAACAGAAAATATATATGTATATATAGGTCAAAAAGCTGATTGTAAGAAAACAATTCATGTTAACAGCCTAAGAGCTATTTTCAATGTGCATTTAATAACAAATCTTCTTAAGAAAAAAGCTAAACAGTACCCTCAGATGTAATACTGTGTCTCCAAAGGTTTCTTTCCTTCAGATTACAAGCTTTATCCTAAGAATCTATTAAATGTTTCCCTGATGATGTAATATTCAACACAATTCTGTCATGTCAAAGGTTATAGTATCATAAAATACTCAGTAAATATTTGCCCCAGTAACTTATGTATGGCACAGTTATTTCCAGGAGATCAGGATGCCCTTTTTTCATTCTTATGTATTTTTATGTCATTGATTATTCAGTCTTTTGAGAAAAAAAATCTCAATATTAAACACAGTGTTTTATTACTTTAAAATGTTCTTAAATATTCAGAATATTAGGATTAATATTTTATATAAACTACCAAAGATAATAGAAACTTAATGATATTAGAAACATACAGCCATGGTATTTCTCTATTTGAATTAATCTATTCACATTTTGAAATATAAAATCAACTTTAAACAAGTTTAAGGTTAAATATGGCAAATTTGTACAACAGACTTGATCTGAAGGAGAGAAAAAAATAAACACTTATTTTTGTTCCATGCAAACCTGTAAGGTCTTTTGATACTGGAAATGAAATTAATTTCCTCTCCCTTCCCCTGCCTACCTTCTGGAGGATCTGCTGATGATCAGCAAAAATGGCCATAAAACAAGGAAAACAAGTGCAAAGAGGGAGGACATAAAATGATAATGGTGAAAGGGAATGAGACAGAGAGAAAGAGAAAGAGAAGTTAAGGACCCCCAGAAAAATCCATAAAATGAAAAAAAATAACAGTTATTTTTAAAGCTGCACCTATTCTTAAGAATATTTATTTTAAAAAATGCTTCCTTAGTGTTTATTTCCTATTCTTTTTAATTTTTGGTATAATAGTATCCTTTTTTTCTCTAGCATATTTTTATTTTTAATCATATAATCTTTTTACTTAAAATTGCTAAACCAACAAGAAAAAAATACCTTATCTACCTCACACACTTTGAGGCATTAGAAATACCTAATTGTTGAGAGTAAGAAATCTTCTTGACATCAATATTCATAAAACTTGATTTCTTTTAAAGAAAAGATTCAGATTACAGACAGAAAACAGGTATCACAATTTTTAAACTATTATACAAAAAAAACCACTACTTTATCTAAAAGGTATGACCACAAAAATGTATTAAAATTATCATGTTTAGAAATATTAGTGCATTTATATGATTTACAACAAGTGATGCATGCAACAAAAATGAGACTTGCTTAGAATTTCTAGGAAGGCACTTTAGAACATCAATGAAATTCCAGAATGTAGGAAAGGCAGGAAAGAAAGTACCTGTGTACCTCCGAGAGAGAGGAGTCACTTTCATCAGACCTATAGTGAAAGAGTTAGAATTATGAGAGAAAGAATACAGATGTCAACAGGTAAGGACACTGACTTTGGACTCAAAATCAACAGCATGAATAACAGATATATAGCAAACATTTCCTTCATAGTGCCCTGCTTTTCTACTTGCACTGGATATTAGCATGTTTAAAGTATAGCTAAGTTACGTAAAAAGTTTGATATTTATGTCTTCTAGCAAGACTTTGGGGGCTAAAATTTTCTAATACTGATATACAAAATCTATCCTCACTTCTAAAATTTAGGCCTTGCAGAAGAATAGTATCAAGTACATGAGATATAGCACTTCAAGGTTTGCTCTATTTAATTTGACTAGTCCTGGAAAAATTTTCCCATTTCAATAACTGTTGATCAATTTTATTCACCTTGATAATTATCACTTTAGATATAGACTCTAATGTTGAAGTTACACAAAATAGATTGTGTTTTCACATAGAAAGCAAGTCACTCAAAATTTAATAACTTTTGGCTTTAACTTATCTCAAAAACACTGAGTTCTTTTGACTAGGGAGCATCTGAGTAACAGCTGGGGTACTTTAGTGGGCTTTTAGAATGGACAAGTCACTTCTGTTAGCCCTACCTTGAGGCCTCCAAGACTGCAGTGAGTCTGGTTATTAAGAAAATCTATTCGACTGTACAACAGGCTTGAGGAGAATGAGGATATGGTGAGCGTTAGCATAGAATGTAACCTGAAACAATGTGGGAGATCTGCGTCTTGCTAGTGGGATATGGTTGCTTCAAAAAGGAGCCCCAGAGAAAGTAATGTAAAGGGGTAGTCAAGTTTTTGAAAGTGTAGAGCAGTCAGTTATTCTACATTTTAGTTTATAGAGATGACAACAGAGTCAAATTATTGGTAGCTCATAAAGTATTTCAGTAAAAAATATGGAACTGTGATTAGGTTGTCAAGATTATCAAAAGATTGACAGAAAATATTCTGACTGTGAAGGCAAGGTAGACACAAATTTAGCAACTCTTCGTATACCTAGTGAAACTTGACTTCCCAAAAGTATTCCTAATGTTCAACTTTTCTCAATTAATGACAGAAATAATTTGACAATGTTAAAGAGTATTTTGTTTAATAACACAGGAAAATATTTACCTACCTAGATCAATGTAAAGAACATATCTTCTACTAATTAAACCATATTAAAATCTAATGAAGGATCCATAAATAAAAGAATTATCCATAAATTAAGTATATTTATAATTCTTTAAAAACTACGGTATGATTCTCTAAGTTTATAGAGCCATTTAAAATGATCTAAACATGCCAGACAGACAGATCTTAAATGGCATCCTATAAATTTTAGAGATTATTGATTTATACAGGGAGGCAATAGCAGAAAACAATCATTATCATTCCAAGTCCAAGCAGACAAGTCAGAGTTAATAAATACCTTATGGCAGTATTGTTAGTATGGCATTCTTGCAAGAGAGATTCTGGCTCAATGTGTGGATACTTTGTCATTTCAAATTTGATGACATTTACATTTTCCACATCCCTCCAACTTCTCCACCCCTGCAACCCACTCCCAGTCCTACTCTCTCCATCCGTAAAGGTGATTTTTTATTCCAAGAACACAATTATTGAAATTTTGTGGTGAACTTGTCTAGAACAATCAGATGACAAAAACGTGTTGCACTTGTAACAATGGTCTTTGTAAACTGTTATATCCCCCAGAAGTAAAGTAATTTGCCTCTTTCCAACTCAGGCTATCTAAATTAGAGGCTTTTGTGGGCTCACAGAAGCTGAAGAATCTCCAAAAATTTAAACATCAAGTGGTCTCAAAGATTTTTCAGTTCTAATTTACTTGTAAAAGAAAAGGCAAGACAAGTGCTGAAGGCATACCAATACAAATCTACAACAGGGAATAATGTTCAGCAGGAAAATAATTTTCTCTAATTTTGGCTGCATGGTTCCTTTCCCATTGGAAAGATGCATAAAATATGGCAAGAGTTCACACGTCAGGCTCCATCTCCTACACAGAGATGACTACATGTTTTCTACAGACTGTATTGACAGGTTCAGAATATTATATAAATAATTGGGGCTCTTTTCCATAATGACTTACTTATCCTGCTGAACTGATGTGTTTCCCTGAGAAACAGTAAGACGATTAAAAACATTCAGTTCATTACGGGGCCGGCTTGGTGGGGAAGAAGGAGGTGAAAGACTAGCCTCTGAAGTTCCAGAATCTGAGCTACAAGAAAAAAAGAACATTAAGTAGGTGGCTTTAATTGGTTATGATTTGTTAGAAAAGTTATAAGAAACATGCTCTTTTAAAAAAAAGCTTTTTATTAGAGAACTCCTTCTTTCCTTTCTTCCTTTTTTGTAAGATAAAATGCATTCTGAACAATTTTTAAAATTTTTCACTGGATTTTGTTACATTGGCCACAAGATGGCACTAAAGAGAAGATTCTGTCTGCTGAAATCAGAAGTCAGTATAAGAATAAAGCAAGCCACATTTAAAATTATACAATTTTAGAATCAAGAGAAAGTTGCTCACTTTACAGATGAGGAAAGAGACCCAGAGAGCTTACGAGATGTTTGCTTATTCAGTTGGTTCATTCATCTATTTTTAAATCATTTATGTGCTCCATCCCCATTTCCCAATTATTCTTGAGAGATTTAATTCAGTAGACACAGGCAAACTACATCTTTAAGTACAGGAAGCAAGGGTGATAAGAAGGATAATTTCGGCCAGGCACGGTGGCTCACGCCTGTAATCCCAGCACTTTGGGAGGCCGAGGCGGGCGGATCATGAGGTCAGAGATTGAGAGCATCCTGGCTAACATGGTGAAACCCCGTCCCTACTAAAAATACAAAAAAATTAGCCGGGCGTGGTGGCGGGCGCCGGTAGTCCCAGCTACTCGGGAGACTGAGGCAGGAGAATGGTGTGAACCCGGGAGGCGGAGTTTGCAGTGAGCCGAGATAGCGCCACTGCACTCCAGCCTGGGCAACAGAGCGAGACTCCGTCTCAAAAAAAAAAAAAAAGGATAATTTCTATGACATTCAAGTCAGCTAAACCCATGGTCAAAAAAGACAGTGTGCATCTTGGCACAGGGTAGTGGATGGTATAGAATTGTCCATTTAGGCACGGAAAATAAATGAACACTTCTTTTTAAATATATTCACATTTATTTTTATGTCAAAGAAATTAAAGTAATTCACTTCACTAATATTTAAATGTAAATTCGCATAAATGCTTTCAAGGACATGTCTGAGATCTGCCTGTCACATGCAGAACAGGTAAACTGAGGGAGGGGTGGCAGGGTAACAGTGGTTCTAATCCAATCAACTTCTGCATGCTGTCATGTTGCAATTTGTAAACGCCCAGTTAAGTGGATAATCAGATTATACTATGTACTGCTAAGTAAACTAACCCTCACAAAACACACAGAAGAAACATTGAGGATAATACCAACAATGTAAACATGAGAGAGCAACAAGAAAATGGCACAATAACACACCCTATGATTAATATTAGTTTTTCTGTCAGCCACTCTAAAGAGGTAGGGTCAAGATCAGTTTTAGCTAACATGGCAATGACGGTCAAAATTAATTCTAAATTTTTCTATTAATAGAAGACTATCTGAAATATAGACTTAATAAGCCTTACCTCAAGTATATATTAACTCTTAAAATGATATACACAAATAACTGGCAAGTAAGTAAGTGGACATGATCAGGGACAAGTGCTCAAATATCTTTACAGGTATATGTATGACCAAGAATATTAGACCACCGAGCCAAGCCAAAAGCTGACTTGACTGTCTTGATTAGTCAAATAGTCATAACCACAGCACCAGCCTAAATCTGGAAAATAATTTCATGATTATCTTTAGCATCTAAGTGCAGCAGGCATTTAATACAGTCTAGCAGGTAAAAAACATTAGTCACTTACTGCTTTTGTTCCTTGGCCTTTGATTTTTCTGCTTTCTCATATGCCTTTCTCCTTGTTACAGGAGAAGGCTCTGGAATTTTTTTTTCTGATAGAGATGACTGCCTGGAACTAAAGTAAAAGAAGATTCTTTAATTACCTAATTCTAAATTTGCACATACAACTTTGGTAGATAGTCAATCTAAAATTTGTAATAGGTTAATAACTGGAACCTCAGAAAGATTATTACTTGAGAACAAAAAATAAAACTAACATAGGAAAATACTACATGAGTTATATTTAGTTGATGGAAGCTCAGCAACTATAATTTTTAAATTGGTGATCTTATTAAATATGTAACAACTTACTATCTTTGAATATAAATATCAGTGATATACCGCCAAATAGCCACAACAAATATTTTAGATGTGTTTTAATTTCATTGGTAATTATTTCAGATGAAGAAAAATTATCTTTATAGTTTTGTAAGAACAAAAATATTAGAATATCAGAATATGAGAAACAATGAGATTTAATGAATTAATATTGAGACACAATCACAAAATAGTTCTATAGGTAATCACACACACAAAAATACATAATTATTTTACTTAGCTAGTATTTAATTTGTATCTATGTACATTTTAGTAATAAAAGTATTCTGGCCTTAAATATTTTAAATGCCAAATGTCTGCTTGTAATTAAAAATTCAAGAAAATAATTTTTGTATATGGTGGTAATGAATTTTAACTGAAAAAAAAAAAAAGTCTGGGCCAGGCATGGTGGCTCACACCTGTAATCCCAACACTTTGGGAGGCTGAGGTGGGTGGATCACTTGAGGTCATGAGTTCAAAACCAGCCTGGACAACATGGTGAAACTCTGTCTCTATTAAAAATACCAAAATTAGCTGAGTGTGGTGGCGGGCACCTGTAATCCCAGCTACTTGGGAGGCTGAGGCAGGAGAATCGCTTGAAGCCAGGAGGCAGAGACTGCAGTGAGCCAAGATCACATCACTGCACTCCAGTCTGGGCAACAGAGCAAGACTCTGCCAAAAAAAAAAAAAAAAAAAAAAAAAAAGTCTGGGAAAAAAAAAACACTAAGGAATTAGACAGCAACACTTCCAGAATGGGTTTGCATGATTCCTATTTAAAAGCAAAAACTAAATGTAATTAAATTTTGTGTGCTTGATTTTTTCTAATCAGGAAATCACATTTTAGCAATCCTGCATCATTTAAATTATAAGCATCACCTGAGTAAAATTACGCAGTAATGGCTTATAAGAGTTACTGCACCAAGTGAGTGACCAAACTCTCACAATGTATAAAGAATTACAAATATATGAGTATAAGCATGTGAATTTATGAAAACTTTAAAGTAAGTTATTTAGAGGCAGAGCCCAAAAGATATTTTTTACAACCTGTCATAAAGGATACATTTTTAAAATGTAAAAAGACAAATAGATTACCTGAATCTGGATTCCAGGCCACAGATTTAGTCTTGAAGTTCCAAAAGTCTCACTCATCTGACAGACTAAATACCTAACACATTTAGTTCCTAAAATCTGACCTCAGTTCTACATCACTACCTTCACCAAAAGCATTTCTTCTATTCTCATCTTATCACAAAAGCAATGAAGCCATAAACTATTCTGGTTAGCAATCTCTAACAGCAGATCCAACAGTTAATTACATAGGCCACCTCAAGCACATGCAAGAAAGTTCTGCCATCATTAAAATTAATTCTGGAACAAAAGGTAGCAGATGGGATACTGAATGGAAAACAATGGAAATGTCCTCATAAAATGAAGAATATTATGAAAAATGGCTATTCAAGTTTGGAAAGTTTGTTATTTTGTATTATTTACAGATCATATAGTGTGTGCCACTTTTGGGGGGGCAATATTCCTCAGTGCAGAGATGTATTCATTCCATAAATTATCTGCTAGATCACATGTGAGGATTAGTTTGAAAAATAACGTTAAAAATCTTTACCAGTGAATGACTAATCTAATATTAATATAACTATCAAAACACACACATGCACACATGGTACACATATGTACACACACACATACACATACGCATACACACACAGGACTATGTGGGAAAATCTTTCTTTGTCCTCAAGATAATAATTAAAAATAGTCTATGCAAGATTTATTTTGAATAGAAGGTTTTTTGTTCAGATTATCATAGGAAAGAGAATATTTCCTCCTTCAAATCTTTAATAATACCAATAAAAATATTTTTGGGGCATACACTCATCCCAGAATATGCAATATGCTTCAAGGTAAAAAATTAGGAAAGCTCAAAATGTATTAAACTTGTAATTGGTATTTTCTTTTTTCTTTAAAAGTCAGCAAACATTTACTATCCTGACAGGACTCTTAAAACTAGGATATAGGTAATTTAGAGCAAATTTAAGAGTCTAAACTTTCTGTTTATACATAATAGTTATATAATGGTTTTATAGGTATAACTTTAATTTAGGTATTTCTATATATGTATTTTCTGTAATTCATAAGTCAGCCTTTATAAAAATTATAACCCTTAAGAATGATCCTAAAACTTGGAGACAAGACAAAGCAATTCAACAAAGGACATCTCATCTTAAATTATTTCAACTCTCCAATACCTTAGGGGAGACAACACCTAGCAAATTATTTCGAAAACCAGAGATCAAATTTATATAAATTTTAAATAATAGAAATAAGAAATTAGCAACATGCATACTTTTTTTTTTAAAGCCAAAAGAAAAGAAGTTAGTGTAGCTGGGCCAAACTTACATGCTGCCTATCTTAGAAGGTAAGCCAGGTGGGGGAGAGAGCTCTTTTTCCCTAGCAGAAGTACCACTTGTCTCTGTATTCATTCCAATCTCTTGCCCTTCTGCAACAGGTGTGAGAGGGCCAGGCAAGGAGGCATCTCCTGTACTAGTGTCTGAAGCTAGTTCACTGCTATCTGCATACAGCAATTCCATCTGAGTGGTGGTTCTCCTTCGGGCCTAGTCAAAGAATGGAAGGAAAAGCAATCAGGAGCAAACTCTTGCATAGAAGCTGATTAGAGAACAGAGATTTATATGAGTTTGAAATAGGTAAAACATTTAGCGTGTCTTTTCCTAGGTGTGCCAAACATAGCATGTGAGATAGTGACAAGCCAGAGCTATATAGCTAGATAAACCTTTAGAGGCCAAAATAATAGCCAACATTTGTATTGTACTTATATGCCAGGCACTGTTCCAAACACATTATTATATTAGCACGAGATAGGTAATATCATTATCTCAATTCCAAATTGAGGAAACTGAGGCAAAAAAGCTAAGTAATTTGGCCAAGGTCATATACCTAGTAAGTGGCAAAGCCAGATTCAAGGCCAGGCTGTCTGCCTCCAACATTTACTGTGCTCTCCTGCCACTTGCGGCCAGCTCCCTCAACATATAATTAAAAAAAAAGAAAAGAAAAAGAAGAAGAAGAAGAAAGACATTAAACCAAAAGATAATTGCAGGAAAGCTCAACTAAATCCTGGTTTTTCCCATGCTTAATTTCTTTTTCTAATACAATTTTTTTTCAATTATTGTAAGCCTCTTCCCATGATGCCTTAAATATATGTTTAATTTGCCCACTGGACAACACCAGCTAGTATCAGCTTTGGGCAGCCTTCTGAGGCAAGTAAAGGTTATTTTCCTAGAATCTAAACTCACTATAAGCATTCCTTTCCTTACTCTTGACAACCAAGTGACTATCCGGTTATTGCTCAGTTAGTTGTTGATGTCACTAAAGTACTAACAGATAATCAAGTGTTTTACCAGATTATAAGCCTCCAGAAAGGAGCAAACTTGTTTTTTCAGCTGTATAGCCCCAGCTCTTAACACACTGCTGGTACATACAAATTTAAAATATATAATCAACTTCATTTTTTTCAATAAATGAAAAAGAAATGATATGAGATCCGGCAGGGTGCGGTGGCTCACACCTGTAATCCCAGCACTTTGGGAGGCCGAGGCAGGTGGATCACGAGGTCAGGAGATTGAGACCCTCCTGGCTAACATGGTGAAACCCCTTCTCTACCAAAAATACAAAAAATTAGCTGGGCATGGTGGCGGGCGCCTGTTGTCCCAGCTACTCAGGAGGCTGAGGCAGGAGAATGGTGTGAACCCGGAAGGCGGAGGTTGCAGTGAGCTGAGATCGCGCCACTGCACTCCAGTCTGGGCGATAGAGCAAGACTCTGCCTCAAAAAAAAAAAGAAATGATACGAGATCCTTTTCAGGCATCTTAGCAGTTCAAACGGAGTAGCAGGTAGCACTTCAGAAAATGTTTTAAAAGAGAAAGCCCTGTAGCCATTTTTTATACTCTTAATTCTCTCCACAGCCAAGAACCTAGAGCAGAGATGAAATTTTTCTTGGGAATTCTTAAGCCAGGTGGTTCTTTCAGGAGATGACCTTTAGGCCACCACTTCACATCTCTCTCTAATGTCCCACAGTGGCATAACTAAATAGGCTTTCTCAGAGCCTGAAAGATCAAATTTATCTTAAGAGATTCTCTCCTTTGCTTAGGACTAGATCCGAACCATAGCAGAATGTTTTATTTGAGTTTTGGTAACTTCTGTTTAGACACTTAGAATAATAAAACACAAACCACATGTTGCGAAGCCAATAGCTCAAAGATCATGTGTAAGAGCCTGGAGATGTTTTTTGATTGGCTTAACCAGTGTTTTAATAATCCGTGAAATCTATGTAAAAATCCGTATTTAAGAATTCTCTTGAAAAAACAAAGGATCTGGTAGCCTTAGGCCCATATTCCCACACAGCAAAAATGAGCAAAACTTGATGGTGGCTATTTCCTTTTAGATGGGGCATGTACTCTCCAGGAAATCATAATGATGAACCGTTCATTGTATATCCAGCTAAATTAGTCATTTGCATTACCTGATTAACCACTGTGGGCCTTAAATATATACTATCCATTGCACAGTATTATTATTTCAGGTCCTGATTCAATCCATTCATTCAACAATATTTAATAAGCACTGCAAGAATTCTTTGTTTTCAAACATTGTATGATTGTTAGTCAAATCACCTACTATCAAATGCTACCACATTCAACCTGATATGTACCATAGCTATCTCACACATTTAACTGCATGTATAATTTATATCATTTTTTAAAACCCTACAAATACGCATCATAGCTTCATAAATTTTTAACACATAATAATTACAGATTAGATTATTAGTAAAACCACCTCAAGGCACAGTTAAACAAATAAGAAACACTTAAGAACACACTAGAATGCTAAAATTTTAAAAATCTCCTGCCAATCTAAATGACTGAGATTGTATGCCACTACAGAGTCTACAATTTAGTTAATCAGCAGCTTAAGAATCACCCTCCATAATTGTGTTATCTAGTGGGAAAAATATAAGAATACAGTAAAGCCCAATTTCCACCAAGGAGAATTTTTTTTTTTTTTTTGAGACGGAGTCTCGCTCCGTCGCCCAGGCTGGAGTGCAGTTGCGCGATCTCGGTTCACTGCAAGCTTCACCTCCTGGGTTCAAGAGATTCTCCTGCCTCAGCCTCCCGAGTAGCTGGGACTACAGGCACCTACCACCACGCCCAGCTAATTTTTTTTTTTTTTTTTTGTATTTTTAGTAGACACGGGTTTTCGCCGTGTTAGTCAGGATGGTCTCCATCTCCTGACCTCCTGATCATCCGCCTTGGCCTCCCAAGTGCTGGAATTACAGGCATGAGCCACCGTATCTGGCCAGAGAAATTTTTTAATATAAATTTTTTCAGTTACCACTTAAAGGGAAATATGATTAAAAAAACTAAATAAAGAAGAGCTTTAGTAAAACCATGCCCTCTTGCTAATCTATTAAGAGTCAAATCTGAACCTATGTGTTAAATAGTGATAACAAATAATGGTGTAAAACATGTTTACCTGATACTTTTAGTTCTCCTTACCTTGTTCTTAGGTTTCACTTCACCACAAAGCTTCATGAGATCTGAAGACAGCGTGCTATGTGCAAATAAATAATTAAGCACAAGATTAAATAGAAAATTATTATAGAAAACTATAGCTCCTCTATATCAACGACTACAAAAAATTTATATGCCTATGGGAAATACAGAAAGACAATATTTAAAGTCAAAATGAATTAATTTAAAAATAATTCATTTATGTTCCTTAAATATTTCAATATTTTCATTTTAAAATTTATGATAGTTAAGCATGACTTAACTTGGTTTCTATTTACTGTTTCTAAGTGCTATTCACTAGGCCATTAGATTGAAAATTATTTCTGTTTTATGGTAATTGTTTGATACAAGATGAAAGTATTTAAAATATGTAAATAAGTCAACTCTATTGTTTCTAAAGGCCTTCTTACCTTCCTTCTGATCCTGGGCTGTTTAAAGGAGCATCCTCATCAGTACTATCCTCTACATTTTCTACAAAAAAATGTTTAAAATGTAAGCATTATCCCCATGTCACAGTTTGAATGGTGACTGCAATCCATAGGCTGTAATAAACAACAGCTCAACATCTCAATATGGGCACGATGGTTTTAGTAGCTGAATCTAAATAGACAGAATTGTAGAAAAGTATTTCTAAAAACTCTCCTTTGATTGTGTGTTCTAGAATGAGTAAAACATGTTCAAATAGGAAAACCATGACTTTGAATGGTAAACTGTAGAAGAGTAACATCCTTCTGAATGAGATGGGTACATATGAATACTGAAGAGTCATGTACGTATCCTGTACCATCCAAACATACAATAATCCACTGTTTAAAAATATAAAGTAAATGCTACATGAGCCTCCTTTAATGTACTGAGTCAACCAAGAATACTACATAAAGTGTAAATATAGTTGTTATACTTTATCAGTTATGCCAATGTACTTGAATATTTTTCCTTTTTTAATTTTTGTATTTTTGCCTACATACAGAGAGAAGGTGTGCATGAGGGTGTTCAGAAGTCACACATCAGCATGCAGCTCATTCACATGAACACAGAAGACAAAAACAATAGGCTTGCATGCAACAGCTCTGTAAACTAATACAAATAAACCACTGCTATTTCAGAACAACTGTAGTAGACTAGTGAAAAGGGAGAAGAATTAAACATATAAAACTGTTAGGAAGTCAGTAAATAAAACAGCCACAGAAAGTAAACGACTTAAAATGCCAGCGAGCCCCTAACATAGGTGTAGGTTTTTTTAATGTATATTTTATTATAAAAATCATTCAATAAATCTAAAGACAAAATTATGAGCAACATATACATTAAAGAAAAATATATAGGGTTCATCCCCTTTTAATTTTTAATTTTATATAATACAGGTAGGCTATGGCACCATTAGTCAATTGATTCATTTCTCTCCACAAATGTTCTCTTCCTTTCTCATTGTTCAGTAATACTTGGTATTATTACCTAAAATAGAATCATATCTAGGACTCACTCAAAGGGGTTTACTTTCTGAAGTGAAAAAAATGGTGATTTTGAAGGCAATATGTATCTCATTAGAGGGAGGCTCAAGGACTTGCTTCACAGAAAAGATAACTGAGTTCTAAGGTACTGAATTAGTCAGTAACATAGAAAATTATGTTATAAAGAAATGACAAACCTAGCCTCTGTTTTCCATGTGTTTTAACAGCAGGCTAAGATTTGCTAGTATTTTTCTTGCACAGTGTGATGAAATTAAATGTTAAACATCATGCAAGTGCTTCGTAAAAAGCTCTTAACTCCTGCTTATGCCTGTATGCCTTAGTTAGAGATAATGGTGTCTTGACAGAACCAGTCTGGCCAGAGCCCAGAGGATCTCACTCAGATGGTCACCAACTCAGGCCCTCTTCAGGACCAAGTTTGGTCTGAAGCATTATGGTTACCTGGGCAGCAGGACACACAAACAACTCACTGTTGTACTCTCAACTCTGAGAACACAACTCTAGCCCAAGGTTAGCTTCTTTTCTTATCACAATAGCTTTAAAGCCAAAGACAAAACAAAACTCCCAAATACCCTAAAGTTAATCTATATCATTGTAAAGTTTCACAGTCTCACTTCACTGGAAGTTAACCAAACAGTTGGATTTTTAAAAGTCTTCCTTTAAAGTTATTCTTTTAAAAAGTTTTTTATATATATAGCTTCTGTATACTAATTATATATTTAAAAATTTAACATTGCAGCCCCTGAGACCGCCGTCCTTAGAAAGGCCTGCTTGGAAAACTGGACTTTGGCTGACATCTAAAAACAGCTCTCAGAGCGTTCCCAGTCAACTGTTAGCCAATAAAAGTGGCTCACGGTGCACTAGAAACTTCGTGCAAATAATATGGCTTATGCTGAACACTTGCTTTCCTTCTGGAAGTCTAGACTGACAGAAGGTACATATGTCACCCCCCCCAGTAAAACCCTGGGGCACTGAGCATCTACTGGACTTTCCTGGACATAAACATTGCACAAATATTGCTGCGTTTTTTGTTCTGGAGAAAGAAAGCACTCTGTGTGAACTCTTATCGTAGGGAGAGAGATACAAATGCCTGGATACAGATTCCTCCAGAGTCCATCTGTGTCTTTTCCCTTTATGAACATTGATATCATAAATCTTAGTCATGAATACAACCATATGCTAAGCCCTCTGAGTCTTCTAGCAAATCTCTGATGATAGTGGTGACCGTGGGGATCCCAACACAGATATAGAAAAATAAGGATGTTCTTTAAAGGCTACAAAAGTACAACCCTGTGAGCATGGGGCGCTGGCCCTGGCTCATCCTCTACCCTTCAGTTCCCTCATTCCATGTCATGAACTTGCTGCTCTGGAGCATCAACCTGTTTGTAGGCCTCAGGCACACAAAAGTGTGGCTAAATTCCTATGCCTTAGCTTTTGCTGCCCCTCTGCCTGGAGCAACTCTCTGGCCCCAATTCAACCTTGTCTTTTTCCTGACTAACTCTTCTTCACTATGTTTTAGCTTAAATGTCATCTCCTCCAGAAAGCCTTCATTAACTCCTTCATTCTTGTTAGGTAGTCCCACTCTGTGCTCCCATAACTCTACAGATCTCAATCATTGCCTTCACTGCAATATATCATAATCTGTTCATAGTCTCTCCTCCTCAGTAGGGCATCAAGTCCATAAGGACAAAATCAGCATCTCACTCATCTTTGAATCCCAGCATCCAGCCCAATGATTGTGATAAAACTGGAGAACAACTAAATGATTTTTAAAGCAATGTACCTATAACTTTCTAGCTTCTGTGGGTTTAAATTTCATTGTTTTCTCATCTCATGCTTTTTATTTAGCTCCTTTCGTCTAGAGAGAGCCCCAGTCCCTAGGGCAAATTTCTGCCATGAGTCATAGGATACATTAGCTGAATGAGTTCCTACTCTCTGCTTCTGACCCTTCAAGCTATAGAAAATTGAAATTTGTTTGAAAGTTGGAAAACAGAGACACTGCTCATCAAATTAGCAATTTAATATTCTTCTGCACATAAAGACATCAAACAATTTATCTTTCAAGTTAAAAGACAGCATATATTTCTATGAATTGAGCCACTAAGAACAAAGAGAAGGAGGAGGAGAACAAGAAGGAGGAGAAAGATGAAGAAGGGGGAGAAAGATAAAGAAGAAGAGGAGGAGGAGAGAAAGAAGGAGGAACACAATAAATTAAAGTACAATAAAAAAAAGAAGAGGAAGAGGGAAAGAAGAGGAGGACGGACTGGGGAGGAGAAGCAAGAGAGGGAGGGAGAGGAAGAGTGAGAGGGACAGAGGAAGGAGGAGGCAAAGAAACATGCTTGATAACACATGGAATGCAAAAGTGCTAGTTATAATGCCAGGTACTTGAATAGCCTGACCAATATTGTTTCAACCTGTTCAGGTAAAATCCTTTGGATAGTTTTGTTCAGTTTACAATATTTAAAAGTGTGTGCTTAAATTTACAAAAATAAAACAGATAAGTATATATATATATACCAAAGATATATACAGAAGAAAGTTATTTATGAGGTTAAAACCATAGATGTACGTTAATAGATATATTTAAAAATTTTAACGGAACATAAATATTATGTTTTTCTATAAGGAAGAGAAAGAACACAGGGGGTTTATGAAACTGGAGGCACAACTGGAACTCAGATAATAAAAGAGACAACTAACAAAAGCATACTTCTTTAAACATCTAAGGATTTTAAAATCAGGAATGTTTAATAAAAGACTTAGTGTGTTTGTGGGCATGGATACATTTCAAAAAAGATCATGCAAAAACCACTTGACCGCCAATAAAAATCTTTAAAATAAGATGTACCACAATTAGTGTACATGAACAATTAGTAATTCATGCAGCTGTAGGATACACAGAAAGCTAAACATACTTACCTAATGGTACGCTATCTAGATCTGTGTAAATAACAGCAAAAAGGAAACAAAAAGCAATACTCCAATCAAAACAGATCCAATGTTAAAAACTCCCACATAAAACAAGATTATGTACCATTTACATGTAGAATAGATGCCATAGCAAACACTTATAAGTTTATTTTTAAGGCAGTGAGATACGCAGAGTAAAGTAATGAAACTTGGTTACTATTTTAAGTAATTTAGATAACCAATACGAAAACTTGATTGGTCTTCTTTGCCCATAAAAACTAATTGCTCAATAAGGTTAAGTAAGCCATTTTAAGTTGGTAACCATTTCTTGGAATGACAATAATTACCTCGCCAAAATGTACACATGCAAATTAAAGAAAGAATAATTATTAAAAGCATGAGTAAATATAGCATCTATTCAGTCAAGCCATAGGGGAAAGGGATATACTATACCATGTTCAAAAAGCAAAGCTACCATGCAAATTCATTCAACTAAAATTGAGAGCAAATTACCTTGTAAAGCATGGCCTAGTAAAGCATCTAGCTCAGGATTTAATTCTGCCTTCTCTTTCAACATATGGAATAAGAGCTGGTTTTGGGTAGCACTGGTTATTTCTGTTTGTTTGAGTCGACCTTCCAGTACTTTAATTTGAGCCTCTTTCTGGGCAGCCTGAAGACCCTGAAACACAACAAAAAATTATCTTAGGTCATACGAAACAGGATCTACCACACAAAGATCTGTATCAAACAGCAAATGAATATGATATATGGGTTTTGACATCAGATAGACCTCGAGTCATCCCAGCTCCTCCAGTAACTGGCTTAGTGATCATGTACAAGTTCACCTGTCCAAGATGTTATCTTCTGGATTCTCAGTTTCCTCATATGCAAAATGAGATCAATAATAATTACCTCTTAGCACATTGTGAAAATTAAGTGAGATGGCATAAGAACAGAAAGAATCTAACAGTCCCAACATGGAAAAAAAAAAAGTGAGTCAGAAACCATTATCACCTTCAACATTTGGGCACGGTTTTCTTACAGGTGACAAATTAGAGCATTTACATTCAAAATAAGAGAATGATTAAATTATTTTTTCTTTTCTGATTTGCTTTTGATCTGTAAAGAATCAATGTTAAATTAGTTATGATACCAAATTTGTTTGCATGCTGAGAAATTTCTTCTAATTTTTCCTTTGTTAAAGCAAAAGGGGAATTATTTCTTCTTTAAGTTGTTTATCTGCTCTAATAAACAAACATAATGGATAACATGCTAATGAAATTGATCTAAATATTTCTTACTCTTCCTGACTCTAAAGAAAGGTAAAAGAAATACTTTCCAATTATGAATAATCTTCTTCCTTATTACAAAGCAAAGGGTTACTACAGAAAGATAAATAAAACTACAATGAATTAGTCAAAACTTAGATTTTCAGTAACAGTGTGGTTGTATCTTACCTTATTGATGCCCATTGACAGGAAGTGATCTAGCAGGTATCGGGCTTCTGTAAGGGTGCAGGCATTAATGACTGCAGTAACATCCAATGTCTCACCTTCTTCCTGTATAAAATCAGCATAATATGATGACCATTACTTTGAGCTGAAAACAGAAGGCAACAGCCTATTGTTTCACATATTTATTTCCTAGTATTGGGTTAGCTAATGAGATGCTCAGATAAGTGCAATATATGATCATTACCCCAAGAAACATAGGGTTTAGTTGAAAAGACACATTTAAGCAGTTAAGAATTCAAGGTGGGATGTAAAGATGACCCATGTGTTATATAAACAACAAATGTTATCACACAATCAGCAGAGAAATCTGAAAAGCAAGCAGGAAGTGGCATACATGTAAAACCTAAGCATTAGATTAGACCAGGAAATAGAAAATACCTTCATGTAAAAACTGAAAGTGCTTTGAACAATAAACAATACAAAAGTACTTTTCATTAAACCATTACGCTTTTTTAAAAATTACAAACCTTTGCTTCTTCCATCTGCATTATGTTGGCCTGACAATCAGAAATACTGTCATTGATGTAATCGATATTAGCAGTCAGTGACTCCATCTCTTCATTGATATTAGCCACATTTTTATCTCCCTCTCCATTCTCCTTGACTATCTTCTCCCTTCTTTTTGAAAGTTTCTCTCGTCTTTTTGTGAGTTCCTCCCGTTGCTATTGAGAAAGCAGGTTGGATTTTAAGAAATTATGTTCACTTATTTATATACAGTACCATCAAACCCCCCCACCCCCCAAAAAAAACTTGGTAAGTGTTAAATTTACCCAGGGAACAAAATTGGAAGAGTAAAATTAACAGTTAGCTAAGGGGGAGCGTATCTACTCTCTATTTTCCACACCTTGAGGAGTCTATTCATATCTGCCTCCATGTTGGAAATGGTCATCTTCTGCATGATGATGTCTGTGACCCTGCGCTCAAGGAGCTGCCACTTCATGCGAGCTGTCTTGGAAATAAACACTCGGCCAGTCAATCCTTTCCTCTGATATTTTTTCCTATAATCATATAAAACAGACAAGCTCAATTACTTATGCACTTATTTGATTGTGCACTGCCAAATAATGAGCCATTTTTTCATTTAAGTACAACATTCAGTATTAACGGCCAAGAAGATTACATCAGCAGGAACAGAATTATGTAGACCTGTTTCCATTTGTTGCCGGCGTTGGTAAGGCCTGGACTCTCGCCACAGGAATTCTCATTTTCTGCTGGGCTCCTGTCCTTGATGCATCTGTTTCGACAGCAGCTGCACTGGAACCTGTGTCCTGAGCAGGTGCATCAGATGAACTCAGCTTCCGAGTAACTTTCCCAGCCACTTTATCTGACATGGGTCTTACTTGCCGACGAAGAGCCGTAACCTGAAATTGCAGCAAAGGTTGACTCATTCTCTTAGTCTATAGAAATACATCATTTATCTCAAAGTCAGAAGGTTTCTTCCAAATGGTCAGCTTGCTTACTGTACCTCTTCAGTTTTGCGACGTAGAACCACTTCTTGGTTTCTTTTTTGGGCTTCCAGAAGTCTAAGTTGATGCTATAAAATAATATTAAATAAGTGGAAATAGTAAAGTGAAAGATACAATATTTCCTATTCCTATATGAATATATTTCCCCATACCCCTGGGAACTATGAGTTCTTAGCAGAATCTTTGAGTCAACAACCTTGTATATATTATTACAGGTACAGCTATTTTATTCCAACAAACACAAATAAATACAGATATACCCCATCCCTTTTTGAAAAAATGAAAGGTTATCTCTGTGTTACATACTTTAATTTGATACATTTGGTGCTTACTATGTGCAAGTACTTTTCTAAATGCTTTACAAATGTTATCTTATTTAATTTTGTTAGATATTTTGTTTTAGTTGCTGTTTGAGGTACAAACAGGAAGAAACAAAGCTTAGAATATTTTCAATAGAGTCATCTTATAATATATACAATAATTATAAACTGTTGTAGACATAGGAGGAATATATATTAATTTGATTAGTACTTATAATAACTATGGATCTTATGGTGGATAAAGTAAATGGACAATAAAATATGTCTGCACTGACTATTAATTTGTTTCTAGGTACTCTCAAAATAAAGATGACTAATTAGGATTACTTCAAGCCATTCTACAGGCATATAATTTAAAAAAAAAAATTGGACTTAAAAAGAACCAGAGGCCAGGAGTGGTTGCTCATGCCTGTAATCCCAGCACTTTGGGAGGTCAAGGTGGGAGAATCACTTCAGGTCAGGAGTTCGAGACCAGCCTGGCCAACATGGCAAAACCCTGTCTCTACTAAAAATACAAAATTAGCCAGGCATGGTGGCACGTGCCTCCAATCTCAGCTACTCGGGAGGCTGAGGTGGGAGAATCGCTTGAACCCAGGAGGCAGAGGCTGCAGTGAGCCAAGACTGTGCCACTGCACACCAGCCTGGAGGACACAGTGAGACTCCATCTCAAAAAAAAAAAAAAAAAAAAGAAAGAAAGAAAGAAAAGAAAACAAAAGAAAAAAGAAAGAACTTAGGTCTTAATTCCAGTTCTATCATTTATTCAATTCTGTGATCTTGGACAAAGTTTAAGAATGACAGTTCACTACAAACTTCCTTTCTAGTACTTAAATTCTGTTATTTAACAAATAATCACTCGTGTTTTGCATTCAAATTCAAACAGATCATTCATTTTATGTTTATGTATATTTCTGTCTCATCAGATGGGAATTCCTTGAGAAAATGACTTTATCTTATCACAGCCATATCTTAATTGCCTACCACAGTGACTGATATAAAAGCAAAATTAATATGTTTTTTAATTAATGAATTATCAGAAATTAAAATTATCATATAGTTTCAAACTTGTTACATTAAATTTCTTCCTATTAAAAACCAAATCTCAAGCTCATTCATATTTTTATATGGTATATAAATGTCACCCTGAACTTTCTAAGGGTTCAAAGATGAATATAACAAGGAACAATTTTAAAAGGAGGTCAATATGTACACAAGGCAACAAATAAAAGGGAGAGGGAGTATGAATGTTAGCTTTATATGTGACTAGCCAGCATTGTGTCTTTATAATAGAATATAGGCATCACATGTTATGGAAAAGATTCAAAAAGTTCATCCCAGGAGTTCAGTATTGGTCTCCCTTATCTTATATGAATTAGTAATAAAGAAATAGGTAGCATACACTGTAAAGAAATTATTCCCGTTGTTCAAAGGTTTTCATTAAATATAAAATAAACAGCCAAAAAATGGAAAGAACCCAAACGTCTATCAACTGATGAATGGACAAACAAAACATATTCTATCTATATAACCATAAAAAAAGAATGAAGTGCTGATACATGTTATAACATGGCTGAACCTTGAAAACATCGTGTTAAATAAAAGAAGCCAGACACAGCTGGGTGCAGTGGCTCACACCTTTGGGAGGCCGAGGCGGGGCGGATCACTTGAGGTCAGGAGTTTGACACCAGCCTGGCCAACATGGTGAAAACCCATCTCTACTAAAAATACAAAAATTAGCCAGGTGTGGTGGTGCATGCCTGTAGTCCCAGCTGCTCAGGAGGCTGAGGCAGGAGAATGGCTTGGACCTGGGAGGCGGAGGTTAGAGTGAGCCAAGATCATGCATTGCACTCCAGCCTGGGCGACAAAGTAAGACTCTGTCTCAAAAAAAAAAAAAAAAAAAAAAATCAAGACACAAAAGGCCACATCTGGTATGATTCAATTTATATGCAATGTCCACAGGGACAAAATGTAGATTAGTGGCTGCCAGGGGCCGGGGCAATGGTGAGTGACTACCAATGGGTATAGCGTATATTCCTGGAGTAATGAAAATTTTCTGTAATTAGATGGTGGTGATCATTGCACACTTTTGTGAATATACTAAAAACATGAATTGTACACTTTAAAAGGTAAATTTTAGGATAAGTTAATTATATCTCAACTTTTAAAACAATAACAAAAAAAGAATAGGCAATATGTTAGAATGTGCTTCTACTTGATTTCAGTAGGAACAAATCGATAAAAACACAATTTTAAATGCCCAGGAATTAACTGTGACAAATACACTGATTATTAAAATACACTGACATTGTAGGAGAAAAAAAGAAATAAACATAACCAAAATAGGGGAGTCATCTGGACAAAATATCCGCTATCCACTTTTCTACCTCACTACCCCCCTTTTCTCTATCCCCTTTCCTCTTTACATTCCAAAATAAATTTCCATTTTCTAAAATATGCTTTATGCTCGTATTTTTCCAGGGAGGATTTAGGAAAAGTTCAGCAAGTAAAAAGGAATAATGGCTGAAACCTAACCAATAATAAGGGAAAAAGTGATGGCCTCTTCTTTTTCAAAGAGGCAGTCTTGCTGTGTTGTTGTTCAGACTAGTCTAGAACTCCTGGGCTCAAAGCAATCCTCCGGCCTCAGTCTCTCAAAGTGCTGGCTGGGATTACAAGCATGAGCCACTGCACCCAGCTTCTTCTTTTAAGAAAAAAAAAATCATAACTATAATTTTTCACCTAAAAGAAATAATCACATTGCCAAAATTTTGGAAAGAAGAAGAAAAATAATCAACCATAACTTATAACCCTAACACAACTACAATTAGCACGTTGAGATGTATCCTTTGAATTTTCCTTCATTGAAATCAAGCATACATTTATTTGTAAAATGACCATGCTTTACACTTAATGCATGGTCATTTTTCAGATAAGTATACAGTTTCAAAATATAAATGGAATGTACCATAATTTCTTTAACCATTCCTCCTACTGTCAGGGATCTTGGTTGTTTTTACTTTTTTCACAATTACAAAGAATCCTACAGTGAAGATTTTGATGCATAGTATTTTTACTTGTTTTACATTATTTTCTTCATCTAAATTCATGGAAGTAGAATCTTGAGTCAAAGGATACAAAAATTTTGATAGTCCTTAGAAAAGCCTCTTCTAATAAGGGCTGGTTGTTAACTCTAGGATTATTTATAAGTACCTCTAGTGATAAAACATTCTTCAGAACCATCCTAAACTTGCTATCTTATATAATACTGCAACTAGTTCCTTGGTCATCCTAGAGATAACCAGTCATTCTTGCCATTTACTTCTATGTCATCATCTGGAAAATAAGCCTCAAATAAAATATATAATATTACAGTGTTTTTTATGAACTCTTATACTGAATTACCATAATCCACATACTGTAATAAATGACATTTTATAAAGTGTATGCTTATCTATTGTCCTTAACCTGCAATTAGTAGTTATGGTTACCAGAAATTTTTCCTCCATTTATTAAACAATCTTTTTCAACGTACAATTTTCTTATATAACTGAGAGTTAAAATCCACTTACATCTCTTTTACGTTGATCCTTTTTCAACTGAGCAATCTCTCTGTTTCTTCTAGACTCAGTCAGTCTGGCTTTCTCTTGTTCTTCTTTCATTTGTTTCATTAGGCGAACCTAACCAATTAGGTATAGACATCTATTGAAATTACTCTGTCACAACATTCATTAAATCAACCACATATATGGAAGTAAGTTCTTAGAATTCTGAATACTTAACATGGAAACATGCAGTTTTGCTGCACGTTTAAAGTGGGCAATTCTTATTTCTGTGGGATTCATATATTTCTATTTCTAATACATTTTTATTAAATTGCTTAGTATTCTATGCTTTTTGTATTCAATATTCAGTTGTTCTGCAACTTGAAATCTTGATACTTAGCTTACTATCAGTAGCTGTGTGACCTTGATCGAATTACTTTACCTCTCTAGGCTTTGGTTTGCTCATCTATAAAATGGAAATAATATTTCCACAGCATTGGATTTTTGTGAGAATTCAACCAGTTAACACCCACACAGCGTTTTAACAGTACCTGGCACTTGAATTCTCAACAACTTGATAAGCACTTAATAATTTTAGCTACTGTTGTTATCAGCAACTACACAACATAATAATCAAATGACAGTTATGTGCCTCATAACATTTAACTCAACAATGAACCACACTTAAGACAGTGGTTTCATAAGATTATAGTGGAGCTAAAAAATTCCTATTGCCTAGTGATGTAATAATGTCATAACATCACATTACAAAGCACTACACCCGTTTGCAGTAGTGCTGGTATAAACAACCCTACTGTGCTGCTAGTCATATTAAGTATAGTCCACACAATTATGTATAGTCCATGATACCTGATAAGGATAATAAATGACTATGCTATTGGTTTATGTATTTACTATACTATACTTTTTATAGATATTTTGGACTTATGAAAAAAAAAGTTAACTATAAAGCAGCCTCAGGCAAGCCCTTGAGAAGATATTTAAGAAGAAGGCATTGTTATCATAGGAGATGACAGCTCCATGTGTGTTAATGCTCCGGAATGCCTTCCAGTGAGACAAGATGGGGAGGTGAAGACGGTGATATTGATGATCCTCACTCTGCATAGGCCTAGGCTATTGTGCATGTTTGTGTTTTAGTTTTAACAAAAAAGTTTAAAAAGTAAAAAATATAAAAACTTAAAATAGATAAAAGCTTACAGAATGATGATATAAAGAAAAAATATTTTTGTACGGCTATACAGTGCATTTGTGTTTTAAACTGTGATATTTCAAAAGAGTCAAAAAGTTTTTTAACTTAAAATATTTATAAAATAAAAAAAATTACAGTAAGCCAAGGTTAATTTATCACTGAGGAGAGTTTTTAAAATAAATTTAGTGTAGCTTAAGTGTGTAGAGTATTGATAAAGTCCACAGCAGTGTATAGCTATGTCCTAGGACTTCACGTTCATTCACCATTCACTCACTGACTCACACAGAGCAACTTACAGTCCTGCAAACTCCCTTCATGGTAAGTCGCATACCTTACAGGCATACCTTGGAGACCTTGCAGGTTTGGTTCCAGAGCACCGCAAAAAGGTGAATATCACATTAAAGCAAGTCACACAAATTTATTTGGTTTCCCAGCGCATATAAAGTTATGTTTATGCTATACAGTAGTCTATTAGGTGTGCAATAGCATCATGTCTAAAAAAATAATGTGCATGCCTTAATCAAAAAACTTAATTGTTAAAAGAAACATGCTGACAGAGACATGAAGTGAGCAAATGCTGTTGGAAAAATAGTGCCAACAGACATCCTCAAGGCAGGGTTGCCACAAACATTCAATTTGTAAAAAATGCAATATCTGCAAAGGGTAATAAAGCAAATCACAGTAAAATCAGGAATGCCTGTAAAAGTATACAAGTTTTGGCTGGGCACAGTGGCTCATGCCTTTAATCCCAGCACTTTGGGAGGTCGAGGTTAGTGGATCAGCTGAGGTCAGGAGTTTGAGACCAGCCTGACCAATATGGTGAAACCCTGTCTCCACTAAAAATACAAAAATTAGCTGGGCATGGTGGTGTGCACCTATAGTCCCAGCTACTGGGGAGGCTGAGAAAGGAGAACTGCTTGAACCTGGGAGGTGGGCAACAGAGCGAGACTCCCTCTCAAAAAAAAAAAAAAAAGTGTACCATTTTTTTATCTTTTTTACTGTATTTTTTACAATACCTTTTCTATGTTTAGATATGTTTAGATACACAAATATTTAGCATTGTGTTAAAATTGCCTAGAGTATTCAGCATAGTAACATGCTGTACAGGTTTGTAGCCTAGGAGCAACAGGCTATACCACATAGCCTAGGTGTGTAGTAGGCTATACCATCGTGGTTTGTATAAGTACACTCCATGATGTTTGCACAATAATGAAATCACCTAAAAATGCATTTCTCAGAATGTACCATCATTAAGCAATGCATGATTATACTTTCTAAATCACTTCCATATTTGCTATTTTATTGTTATTTTAAGAAAACTACACTGACTTTCATGAAAGATGTAAAGAATAATTAATCAAAAACAGATAACAGATCAGGATTTGCACACTCTCTTTGGACAGGGGAAGAAAATTAGTGCTTCTCTAAGTATAGGAATTATAAACACTAAATTTAAGACAGTTATTAGCTATTGGAGAATGGGGAATATGATCAGGAAGAGATAAACAGAAGGCTTACTGTATATCTGTAATGCTTAATATTTTAAACTAGACTGTGGATACAGTGTTTGTTATTATGTATGCTTTCTTGCATATTTGAAATATTTTATACTTTTGTTAAGCTTGCATAAGAGTTTTAAGAGAAGAAATACCTATCAATGTCTAAGAAGCCCTGATGAGCACATGATTTTCAGCTACTCTGAAGAAAGGCTTGGATGAGGAATGACTATTAGAAACAACTTCTAATTGCCAAAGGAAATTACATCATTTGTAAGATTGGGTTACCTTTATCGAATATGGAAAGAACCACAAGAGTTGTTTATTTTTTGTCCCAAATGACAAAATCATACTGAACATCAAACGTTAATGGAAAAAAATAATCAATACCTTTGTTTTTTTCATTTCCATCACATCCTGCTGCAATTTCTTCAATTGCTTTTCATACTGAGACTGATTTTTAAGCAACCTTGCATGTTCTTTTTGAGCTGCTTGAAGTCTCTGCAGTTCTTTGTTCATGGCTTGGAGTTTCTTTTCATATTCAGACCTAACTTTTTTTGCTTTTTCTTCTGAGTAAGATTCTACCGAGCCTAAATGACCAGAGGACATTTTTATATGTTTTTTTGTGAGACACAGATTTTTATTTCACAGATTTACAGTCCATATCCTAAGAGAAGAGCTACTTCCCAAACACCCACATCTCAGAAGACTAGGGTGTCTTTCAATCATTCTCTCTTTTATTATCTACTCTTAACCTGTTTAATGATTATTGAAGCTTATTTATTAATATGTTATGTTAAAATGTCCCCAACATAAATCAAAACATTAAAACAACCATAAATTTGTATAAAGTAAGTAAACAGCCTAGGCAGATATCGGTATGAAAAAACAAAACAAATAACAATATTTAACATTATGAGACAAATTAACATATAATGTGGCCAAAAAGTATTTACAAGCTACATATAACTTTTAAATAAAAGGCACAAACTTTGACTTGCAAAAACAAAACAAATAAATAACAAAAAAGGGTTTAATACGGCTTCTATTTTTTTTCTTCTAAAGGAAAAGATAAAAACCCATTTTGAAGATTTAGCTTGAACTTTCATTTGAATTAAATATAATTCTTACCTAAGTTTTGAAGCACCTGGTCTCTTTCAAGCTGAGTATCCCGAATTTTATGTTGCAGCATCATTAGCTTCTCTTCATACTGCTTTTTCAGAGTCTGCAGTCTTTTCTGGCTGTTTTCTAGTTCATCAATCAGCTTTTGCTTAATTGCAATTTCACAAGTAATGTTTGCCAAGTCTGCTTGATAATTGGCTATTTATAAAAGAAGAAAATAAAAATCCTGGTGCTAGGCCAAAATATCAGAATTCTAGCTTTCAAGCAGACCATAAAAACCATCAACTAGGTATTTTTATTCACTTAGTAGTTATTAGAAAAATTTCCTGGAAAAACCAACAACCAAAAGGTGAATGAGATAAAGAGTGTTCATTTTGGTCAAGGACAATGCTATTTGTATTAGGTAAGAATGGAAATCACACAATGACTAAATCCAGTAAGAGAAGTAACTCATTTGTTTAGCACATAAGCCTTGGAAGGCAAATGTAGGTCAGTGGTCACAGAAGTTTCTTTCATCAAGTATGAAATAGAGAATGTTAAGAGTTTTCTGTCATGGTTTAAACAACTTCCCAAAATGAATTTTTGCCCTTATACCAAAGGGCAAGTACCTTTTTCATCTGATTCAGAATCTGATTCATCAGAACTTTCACCCCCATCAATGTCATCTTCCTCCTCCTCCTCCTCCTCTTCTTCATCCTCATGATCACTCACTTCTTGACTTTCTTCCTAAAATGTGATTTGTAAAAATTAATAGCACAATATTGGCAAAACAAACTGACTCCCTCATTGAGAGAGGCTGCTGGAGTACAAAGTACGGAAACATAAAAAAATTCACTTGTCATCAGTATAAAAATGTTAAGGTTATTACAGAGTAATTTTGTCTTAAATCAAAAAGTATTTCATCTCTCATAGTATTCTACCCCTGACTCCCCAACACAATGCTTTCACAATACATAAGATTGAGAGTTGTCAATATTTTATAGCTTGTATCTCTGAAGAAACATCTTCAAAGAAATAGATTAAACAGAATGCATCATAAGCAGTTCACTTTTCTACAAGTAAGTTAGTAAGTTATCATCAACCAAGAACAACCAAACCTGGTGACTAAAACTGACAAGTTCATTCTTTCATACTTACCACTTCTAATTCATTGTTTTCTCTTTCCGAAACACCCTTTTCTTCTTTCTTCTCTTGGTCAGTGTCTGTATTATCCTCTTTACCAGCCACACTAAAAAAAGGAACATAAGGGTATGGTGTTAAAATAGAAAGGAAAATTATTCACTTTTTCTCCCTCAGATTTTTAGAAGCCATCAATGATTTGTGAAAACAAACTTTAAATGTTGGTCACTTAACTGAGCAAAGCTATTCTATCTGATGCTTCAGAGAAAAATGGAAATTGCCAATCAATCAACAGTGTAATGATTTATATCACTGGAGAAAAGCTTATTTTCAGAAAACACTGAGGAATAGATTATGCCCGAAAGCACGAGACCTCGACACCCCTAAGAACTAGTCACAGTAGCAGCCAATTAACTAGAATGTAAGGCAATTTAAATTGAAAAGAAATCAAACATTTTTGTTTTCTCATCTGAATACAAAAAAACTTCTCTCATATAAAT
Organism: Homo sapiens; assembly: GCF_000001405.40. Taxonomy (NCBI): domain Eukaryota; kingdom Metazoa; phylum Chordata; class Mammalia; order Primates; family Hominidae; genus Homo; species Homo sapiens. Next base: position 39,342,516 of record NC_000012.12, read on the forward strand.
ACAAAGATATAAAAAACTACATTTTCACTGATGTCCTAATACATTTAAGAGTAAATTTAAAGTTCCAGTTTAAATCTGCCCACAGTAAGCTTGTCTACACTAGCTATATCCATCAGTATTTTCAGGTCTCCTTCAGGTAGTGGCACAGGCTCTTTTTTCTTAGGCTGCCCGTACAGCACAAGGCTACTTCTCATTATGGTCTCACACAATGTGTCTTTGCATACCAAAAACTGTCTAATGTTCAGGCTGCCCTTTGATTGAATAGAAAATTTCAGGGTCTGCCGCAAGATTCACCTTATAATTGGAAGCTCTCCTCTTAAGTTACCTAGTACCTACAGCCATAACTACACACATACCAGGGAATGATTATAGCTAAATTAATTCAGCCCTGGTGGCCCTGAGGAAAAGAGAGAAGTTTCGTACACCCAAATAACTCGAATCCTTTGTGGGTTTAGCAATCAACTATGCACAGAAATTACACTATTGATCACTAGACTCACATATTTAATTAAGCTAAACAACATTAAGTGAACTTTAAATGAATCTATATATGAACTATTTCCTTTTGTGCTATAGTAGCATTTTAAAATCATTAAAAAGCCCTTTGAGAGGCTGAGGCGGGCAGATCACGAGGTCAGGCATTTGAGTCCAGCCTGGCCAACATAGTGAAACCCCGTCTCTACTAAAAATACAAAACAGCCTGGCATAGTGACGCACACTTGTAATCCCAGCTACTAAGGAGGCTGGGGCAGGAGAATCGCTTGAACCCGGGAGGTAGAGGTTGCAGTAAGGCAAGATTGCGCCACTGCACTCTAGCCCGGGCAACAGAGCGAGACTCTGTCTCAAAAATAAATTAATTAATTAATTACAATAAATTTAAAAAATAAATAAATAGAATACTCAAATAATGCAATATTCTAAAAGTAAAATTCCTCTACAAAAAAAACTTTACAACTTTATCAGAATAGCTTAATAACAGCTATCATGTTTTCATATATTCTTCTATATTAAATAATTTCCCTAATACATGGATTGATTTTTAGCTTCTAGGCTAAAAACTTAATCTCATTTAGGCCCTATTATAGCTATAACTTTAATGATTAACTCTAGGTTTCTATTCTCAGAGATATTTTTCTACTGAGCACTATGAATATAAATACTTTTCCCTTGTAAGGACTTTTCAGAGTTTGTCATTTATGTTTATGTTATTATTTATTTAGTGTCTGTATTTCTCACTAGGCAGTCAGCTTCCTAAGGGAAGGGATCGTGTCTGTTTGCCTCCGCATTACATCCCTAGTACCCAGGTCCTGGCACATAATGAATGTGAAGTAAGTGTTTGTTAAATAAACCAATCCCTGTGACTATGCATGAGCACCTCTGTTTGAACATGCCTATGTGTCTCATGCACTAGCTCGGTTGGAGCAGAATGGTACAGTTTCAAAGATGCATAAAGATGCATGAGAGACAGCATATATACGGAGAGAGAAGAAAGTACAAGTAGGAGTACCAATACAACAGTCTTAACTGGAAATGAATGAAGTAAATTGTAACAGGGTTCCATGAGTGTTGTTAAATCATTTGGATGGAGAAAAATGTGCTTGAAGAAAAGTAGGAACCACCTAGAAAGAACTCTTATGATAAACAAGAAATAATTTTATGTGATATACTGAATGTCTCTCTTAGGTTGCTTATAATATACTAGGACTGCTGATTTTCCACCATCATGCAGTTCAAGATGAAAATCTAGAAAGAAATTCCCCTTTCATCCAATCATCAATTAAAAGGCCAGCAGCATGTACTCAAACAGTGCTATACTTGAGGTTTAGGTCTAAGGTGTAGGGCTAGGAAAGGACAATTTGTAGGGAGACATCTCCCAGCAGGCTTTCCAGTTCCCTCTCCTGGGCAGTCTCCCTTTCTCACCTGTGACTGCTACAGAATACAGTTTTCATTATTCTCTGTTCTTGTATTACTTCAAGTTCCAATCAAATCACATTATACTTAAGTTTACAGCCATACAACCACCTTATTCCAAACATTTGACCCAACATATCGTTCTACTCCCCGCTCCAACTCACTGATATCCAGTTAAATGTTCTTTCACTTCTACATTAACTCATATATTATAAGTCATTCGTGCCACTTCTGATGTGGAAAAATCAGCAGTCATAACTTTACATTATTAATTTAAAGGCTTAAACTTTTAAAATACAAGTTGATAGTTATAATTTTTATACCTCAAATATTGAAGTTTTCCTCAGTAAACCGAGGCAAATTGATATCTAAAATAAGTATCTAAGTAGCAATGGAAGATATTTAAATTTGTGCTTTATATAGAATCAGAAGCTTGGGAGCTGGAAGGAACATTAGCAATTAACCCCTTCATTTGACAAACAAAAAGGGAACTGTGGCCTGGAGAAGTGAATCCCCTCAAGAGAACTAAAACCAGTTATCCTGACTCCCAGAACATCTCAAAGTTCAGCTCACAGACTGGAAGCATCTGCACCACCTGGGAGCTTATTACTTATGCAGAATCTCAGGCTCCACCTCAGTCCTACTGAATCAGAATCTGCATTTTATCAAAATCCCTAGGAGATCTGTACACACGACTATGTTTGAGAAGTTGTTCTGTAACCACCCAACCACTCTGCTTTTGCTGTCCTTCAGGGATCATGTAAAGATGGGAGTAAACTCCTTTCACTGAGAACATTTAAAGGACTTGAATATTTTATGGTGATTAAATGCTTCCACACACAACTTTAATGACGCATCTTATTTTTACCTTTCAGAATAGAAGAAATTTCACAATTTTAATGCCTTAACTTAATTCCAATAATAAACATGTTGTCCTAAATATGTATTGCTTAGGTGAGTTATAGTATGACCAATAAAAAATTAAAATTATAGCCTAAGTACTTTAAAGAACCTATGGGCTTATGGCATGTAAGTATAAAAACTTTAGAATACTATATAACATACTAAATATAATTATAAAATAAAAATTATAAGGTAATTTAAAGAAAAACATTTTAAGCTTTAAGATATTTAAAGTAAGATATTCATTTAACTAATTGCATAGTATAAGTTCTCAAGTTCTTAAGTAAAAGATGAATGTCTAAAGTAGGGCTTCCAAAATAGTTAAATATTACCTTGAAACTAGTATATTTTCTTAATCATTTTGACTATGTAATCTAGAGATTTGTTTAGGAAAATCTATGAAGAAAACTTCTGATAAGAAGGAAAATACCACTTATCTTTGGTTAAATAATCATAATTCTGAATCAGTAAAATGCAATCAAGAATATTATTCTAAATTTTGCTCGTTTCAAATGAAAAAAAAGCAACTATCCTGTTTTTGATGTCCACTTCAAATACATTTTAAAAGCAAAAATTGTTTTTCTATTTCAACCTTAAGAATGTCTTATAAATCTTATTTGTAATAAGGCCACAGTTTCCTTTTGTTTGTTGTCATTTTAATGATTTTTTTTTCCAGTAAAGATTATACCAAATAAAGAAGAGAGAGACAGAGGCCCACCCATGATTCAGCATGTGCTACAACAAAATGTCAATTTCCACTCTGCTCACAAGTTTCTGTAAGACAAAGAATTACTGTTGTTTTTTCTTTTTTTAATAAATCAAATGGCAGGGGTTTTAGGGTTATTTTTATCCTACAAAAGGTAAGTCATCATCATAATTATCATAGTTTATTCTGTAATCACATGAAACTGCCTGAATTTTAATTCAAGTATCTAGTGAAGATTTTATTCTTAAAAAGTATTTTCTTAAAAATTTATTACAGTGTTCTTGTTAGTTTTATAAAATCAGCATTACTTTTAGGAGCAGCCCAGCTTATCTAGTCTGAAACAATCTATAATACTATAACACATTTCCTTGTGAATGGCAACTAAGTATTTAAACGACATTTTAATAAAAAACCTGGGAAATATTCCAACCTTCTTTCTTCTCGATTGCTTTCCTCAAGTTTCTGTAGCCTTCAAAATCACGAGGCACAGTATTGGAAGGCCAAGCCAATGAAGGACAAACCAGACAGTAAAAAGCGAAAGTGATAAGAAGGTAAAAATGATACATGAGCTTGAAGACTTTAAAATAAATTTTAAAAGATATCATCAAAGGACAATACACAGTAAAAAGGCAATACATTTGTATGAATAAAAAGTAAGTAGAAAATCAAGCAGCAATATATCTAAGAAGAGTATATAGACTATCAGTTGAAATTATGCAGCAGCAAAATGTATAGTCTCAATTTATAAAAGTTGATAAGGATTAGGCATGCTTGGATGCCTTTTTTTTAGTCTGAAGTGGGTCAATTTACTCAGCTTCCCCCAAAAAAGACCACTTTCAATAATATTCTCTTTCAAGCCTTTACAGAAGACCTTTTAATGGCATCATTAAAAGAATTTCACAAAGTAATGCCTTTATACCATAATATGAAAATACCACTAATACTACATTCTAGGATACTACTTTTAAAAACATACTTTCTGTTTTAATATACTACATATGAATATCAATAAATCTAAAAAAAATCTGATTTCAAAGTTATACATGAAATGGTATTGCAGGCAAATGAATATGGTTGTTATGATATCTGTGAAAAACTGTAATTTTATTAATTGAAAATAAAATTTCACACTGGGATTAAAGAGTTTACTAATTATTATAAACTAACTACTGAAAGGGCATATCTATAAAGCAACAGTGGCAAAAAAAAAAGGGGGGTGGGGAGAAAAGTAGTACTTTCCATTAGTAAGATTGTTTTTTAAGAAACATATAAGAAATATCATGTGTAAAGGGTTTTAAAGATAAAGAATATTCAATATTAAAACTTGGGGATCTTTACTCAATGGAATGTACTGTATACCAGTATTTGTCATGTAGACAAAAAGACAGATGTGCTAGGCTCTGATTAAGCATATGGCAACTTTGATATAGAACACTTCCACCCAGAATATTTTTCAGAATTATCAATATTTTAAAATGAAGAGATTGAATCAGAGGTATGAGTTATTTTATCAAGCCAGTTCTTTTCATTTTAATTTCATAATGTAAGTGCTCCCATGTGATTCTTATTTATTGGTCTGTGATTGTTTTCACATCAACTTATATGCCGCCATTATAAGACGAGACTAGCAATCTTTCTGAGAAAAAGTCTACAAATATATACCAGTAATCAAATGGTCCAGTATAGTGATTAGAAAAAGCAAAGTAAAGCCACTGCCTAAGAAATCTGTGTGTTTCTAGAGTTTCAACCCAACACCACTAAATACAAATCAGTGCAGTCTGATCGATGAGTGAAGTTTTTTATGTTGCAAGTCATTTAAAGCTAGATATCCAAAAATATGGGATTTAATGTGTGAATGGTAAATTTTCCTCGTCCACATACACAAAAAATGCAAAAAACTTTTATGTCTACTCTACGCCTATACTAATGATAACGAGCTACAATGGCTCAGAGAATGTGATTCCCTCATGAAGAACCCAGATTTTCTATTTTCAATATAGAGACTTTTGTTAGCTTATACAAGAAAGCTATATTAAAATATACAGTTGACATGAGCTAGCAAGTACATAAACTTTACATGCCTCCTAAATTGCCTTTTTAAAAACCATTCCAATCAATAGTTCAAAAAGACAATGAAGGGACAGAGAAATAAATGAATAATCTAACACCTCTCCATAACTTAAAGGAAAACTTTAGTTTTTACTTCACTTAGTTCCCCTACAATGCTTCTTCTACAGTTAAAGAGAATGACAATTCTTGCCAACCATTCTAACATTTGTGTAACTGAAAGATATGCCACATAGTTTAATTGTTATTTTCTTACTATCTACACCTCTGGATTATTCTACAGATCAACAGAAAATAAGCACAAAAAGGTAGAAGAGCAAACCTTAAAACCTCACATATTAGCTATTAGTTATAGTTCTGATACAGACTGACGCAGAAGAAGGTGAAACTTTCAAACAGCATTTGTGGCATCCTCCTTAAACACAAACGCAGCTTCTGGAAAATGATCCAGTTACCACTCTTCCTATCAACTCTTACATTGTCAGAGGCCCTATAGCCACTCCAACCAAAAATCTACAACACAAAACAATAAATTAAAAGACACAGAGCTTCCAAAGAATTTGTGAATTCAGTGACAAGGAAAGGAGGCAGCTGTAGAAGCCAGGACAGCTTAGAAGAGCTGAATCCAAAGGTCAAACAAGCCCCAGACAGGTTTTAGAAACTCACAGCCACAACAAGATAAAAAAAAAAACCAAACAAACAAACAGAAAAAAAACCTTTTCTACTCTTTTTTTCATTAGATTATGCTGCCTAACATATTTTGTTGTATGGATTAATGTACTCTCTTTAAAAATTCCAAATACCCCTACAAAGGAAGCTTGTTGGTTATCAGACATTTCCACTGGTATGAATTCCTTTAGTCAAATGGCTTTGTTCCTGAGTTTGAATTTAAGGAGATCAGAGAAAAAAATAGATAATTTTGAAATTGGGAGTACTTCAGGGTAGGGCAGAATTACGTGAGAACTGGACCACATAAGGGAGGAACGGATCAAGGTAGCATGGGGACACAGGAAGGTCAGTAAGAACGAATGGCTAAAGCAGAAATTCCCATTTTTCCCCCAAAGATTGGCCTACACCCATGAGAGGGAAAGAAGGTTCTTTCCCCTGTCTTGCCTTTTCTTGCTCCCTTCTGAATTATTCTTACCATATTATAAAATGGGCAGAAATCATTTTATGTGAGTGAGCTGAGAAATTTGGACATCATGTATTTACAATACTTGCTAGAGAAAAATCAGTCCAAAGTTTCAATTAATTTTTAATTGAACCTCTTGTATGTGTAAGGTTGAGGTAGACCCACATTTTGCAATGCCCTCTCTGACAAATAAAATAGATAAACATGAAGCATGGAATGTAACTCAACCAGAATCAATGCATCCAAACAGGAGCTATCACTTCCAAGGAGCTCCTGTGGAAAACTGAGCACTTTAGTAAAGCTGCTATCCTTCCAAACATTTCTGGAACTCTAGGTTTATTGTATGCTGGTTCTTTACTAACTTGTAGGGACTCCTTTGGCTAAATGAGGGCTTACCTACATTTTAAAAATAGAAATTGGCATTACATACAGTTAAAAGTTATTGGGATCCAAGTGTGATGAACAAAGTGCTTTATCAAACTAAGTAAAACAGGATTGGTTTTCATTTTTTAATTCAAAAAAACATTTGATTATAGTGTGGTAAGACATATTCCATTAAATACTATAAATTTTTATATGTAGCAATAAAAATTTATAAATTGGCTCTAAAAATGTTTACAGTTATATGGTATAGTACACAAGAAAAATTTTTTAGATTCACAAATTATATAGGTGTCAGTTTTACAAAATTATATAGGTGTCAGTGTACGAAGGTACACTACAGCATGTGTGAAAATGCTCTTAAAAATGTTTGTATATAGCACTCTATAGGTGTATTAATTTTTAGAAAGTATTAATTTGTTTTTCTCATTCTAAGCTATCTTTCATTTCTTATCTGGCTCACTCACAAATATTTTATCTCTAATTATGTGTCTTTTTGTTAGGAAATAAATTATTTTCTTCACTTAGGCTTTTATGTTTAAATCCAGTTGTTTGATGAGTTCTTATTAGTATTAACATCTATTATTTTTATTGTAATAATTATTACAACTACATAATCACTGAATTAGTCACAACCGCTATTAAAATGTTAAAAACAGCCTAGATTTCTATTGGGATCCTTATTTATTTTTCATTAGTCATATTCAACAGGTGATTAAGGAAATATCTCTAAATTTACCTCAAAAGGAAAAAGCAGTATCAGTTGTGACCTTAAAAAATAAACTTTGCTTATACTTACTTATTATTTATGAATACAAATGACCTAGACCTTTAAAAACAAGTCATACCATTTGACATTTTGACCAACTACAGAAGTGGATTTTACAAGTTAAGTGATAAGTCATGTGCAAAAGTCTTATGTTAATTCAAGCAGTAAACTGGGTAACACTACTTTCGATAATCCTATGATCATTATTTCAGTTTCAATTGCCCTCCATAAGGGAAGAGCTAATCATTATACATTTCTTAATGCTGCCATAATCAATGATCCATGAAAACATCTAAGACATTAATATCTCAAGAGTGCAATTTCAATTGCAATGCCTACTAACCATAATGTATAATTCCTTGCTTTAATTATTCTTTTTAAACTCAGGAACACAAAGCAGAATTGGAAGAATTTAAACTTCCAATGACTTTGATCAACTGGCTGCTCCAGGAAGAAATGCCTGGCTACCTAAATACATTTTTAAATAAACTGAGCAAAGCAGCAGGTAGGCTAAACGTCTACATCAATTCTACAAAGCATTCCTCCTGTAACAAACCAGGTGGCAAATAAGATGATTTTGCTTCCTTTTGAATATCTAGCCAAAAATGTTTAAATTTAATTTGACTGGCATGCTCAAAATATAGTCTCTGTAAGCAATCTGACTGCACCATAGAATCAGTGTGTAAACATGTAAAGAATTTATGAGAATTTAACCACTTACACATTACAAGTGGTTAAATTTTCATTTTCTTCCTCTCCTTTGCACCCGGTTGATTTCAGAGGGACATAGTATCAGGATGCAAAGAAGAGAAAGCCCAGAACAGTGGTGAAAAGCTGAGTAACTCCTTGTTGGAAGATTCAAAAAGCCTGAAATAGCATAAATAATTTTCACATAATCAAATTAGAAGCCCTGCAGAAAATATTTAAGAGACCAAATGACATTACATGACATTCTGATGGATTAGTTTAGCCTTTAGTTAAACTAATCTAGACAGGGATGAAAATATCCATGAGACTATTTAATTGCATTAGGAAATGGGGAAAAAATGAAAACACTGAGTTGTAATGGTACAGCAAGCTTTGCTGAAAAGCAAAATGAATGGAATGCAAAAGCAGCTATTTGAAGAAATAATAAAATAATTTATAATAGTAATTTTATATTGTCATGTTCTAAATAAAATTCATTACCATGTTATTACAATTAAATCTATTTTTCTTACATATAAGTAGAGATAAACCATTAAAAACTAGATAGTTGTAGTTTCAGCTAACATAGTGATTTATTTCATATACTAAGGTACTCATGAGACTATGTATGCTCTTTATAATTGCAAATTAAAATACCCTGAAAAGGAAATAGAGATTCATTTAGTGGTGATTTTATAATCCCACCTTTTTTTCTTCCTCTTTTCTTTTCTTTTCAACTTCTCTAAATCTTTTTTTGCTAGGTCTATAATTTCAATGGTTTCTTTGTCTGAGGATAGTATGGTAGGAGAAAAAGTTGATGATCCGCTGAAATATGGCGCTCTTGCTGTGGCTCTTGTCAAGTTTTTTCGAAGGTTCTCATTCACTGCTTCACTTTCTAATAATTTTGCCCTAGCAAATAAAAATATATTTAAATAGGGAGCATTTTTCTCTGTGGATAAAAATACATAACATAAAGTGTACCACACTACCATTTCTTAAGTGTACAGCTCTGTAGCACTAAGCAAATCTATATTGTTCTGCAACCGTCACCACCATCCATCTCCAGAAATTTTTTATCTTCCCATACTGAGACTCTATACCCATGAAATATTAACTTCCCCTCAGCCCCTCTACCTCAGCTCTGGCATCCATCATTCTACTTTCTGTCTCTATGAATCTGACTGCTCTAGCAATAAGGCAGGAACATTTTAAATGAGTTAGTCTTCATGCTAAAAAGTTTTCCAAAATGCATTTCAACATGGCTACAAGATAAGGATTTTTAAACTAAATAAAATTCTCACAAAATAATAAAAATAATCATAAAAGAATGCTCACACACATTAACATTTAACAATTTTTTCATATTTCCTGATTGAATAATTATATATTTGTAATCATAATCTTAATACTCAAAAGAATTCTACATATTCAGATGCCAGTGGTAATTAGATTACTTGAATTCTGGCCAGCGGACATCAGTTGTCCTTGCTTGTAAACCTATTATTTAAACTTAAAAAATACACAAGCAGCATGCTCCCCTTAGTTTCAGTTCCTCATTCATCACACAATAGTAGCATTTCCAAAACTGTGCAAGGAATAATTTGTCAAATCTGCCCCAAACTGGCTGACGGACATCTGGCTCCTGAATATAGCGTGGGAAAAGACAGTATCTCCAAGGAAACTTGAGTTTGATAATTGAAAAAATTCTTTTGTTTGCTCAAGCAGTCCTAATAATGACAGGAGAATAACATACACACTGATCCTCACACATGAAGACATCAAACAATGAAATCCTAAAAGAGCCTAGACTATTGAGACTAAAAGGATTCAGAGAGTCCTCTAGGCCAATTCCCTTATTTCTACTTGATTTAAACCATCAAAAATACAATTATCTACTTACATATAATAGATTTTCAAGGTTAGTTTGGCACAACAGTGATTGAGACTGAAAAATAAGAAGAAAACACAACCTATCTCTCTCTCAACACTATATTACTAAGCACCTTTGCCATATGTTCAAATATTTCAGAGAAAGATGCTAGATTATTTGCAACACTAAGCTCTGGAAGGCACAGTCAGCTCAGTGCTTTTCCATTGCCTACCAAAATTATTCATTCTACTCTTGAAATAGTTGAGACAGATGGGGTCTCACTATATTGCCCAGGCTCGTCTCAAGCTCCCAGCCTCAAGTGATCCTCCCACCTCAGCCTCCCAAAGTGTTGGGATTACAGGAATGAGCCACCCCACCTGGTCCTACACATTCTTTAATGAAATTGTTTTATTATATATGTGATACCATATGCGAGCAGAACAATTACAGTGTTTTTAGATGGTTAAATAGCTGTGTGCAAACTTCTAGGTTAATTAAATGACTTCAAAAATGTTTTAGAGAAAATTCATATAAAAACTCAAAGTTAAAATTCATGATTATCAAACAACAGAAAAGTACAAATAATATATTATACTTTTCTATATTTTTAATTTCTAGCACAAAGCCTAGGTACCTAATAATGAATGCTAAGAATGCATGAAAATATAATAAATCAGCTAACCATAATGATCTATATTTTAATTGTCTCCTTTATTATTATGTAATAAATAATGTAGGTATTTTATTTTAAAATTTGTTTTTTACATAATGTTAAAAGTCTGCATTTGGTAGGGGCATATCCAATGAGTCTTTGATCTAGTGCTGACAAAGGCCTTTTAGGGATTACCTCCACAAACTCCACATTAACAGAATCTACTTTTTGTATGGCCTACAGGGAGAACATCTCTCTTTCCCCATCTCTTTCTCTCTCTCTCTTCCCGTTCACTCACCCACCCACTTGGTACTTCCTGCATTTCATTTAATAGAGACTAAAGAGTGAGGTATGAGGGCAAGTGTACAAACTTCTTTGGGAAGGAGCACACTGAGGGCTTGCATGCCAGCTGTCATTCATTGGATCTTGGACCATCAAGTCTCTAAAAGGCCCCACTCTTCCCTTTGTAAAACTGAGATTAAAAATATATACTTCCCTAGGATTGTTTTGAGAATCAATGATAAAATGAATTTAAAAGTCCCCCAACTAACATGATATTTAAAAAATAGTAAGTATTCTTATCATAAAGTTGGAAATAATATAATCATTAACAGCACAGAGTTAAATAAGTGAATTACAACAGGACAGTACTATATGAAGCCATGCAAAAATCATTGTAGAAACTTTTTAACATTGAAAAATGTTCATAATATATTACCGCTTTTCAAAGAATAGATAGCAAAACAAAATATACAGTCTGGTGTCATTTACGTTAAAGTATTCATTGGAAAAATATTGAAGAGATAGATCAAAATGTTAACATCAGTTCTTAGAATAATGGGAATACACATGATTTTAATTTTCTCTTACATTTTCCTATATTTTCAAAATGTTCTGCAAAATTTTTCATGCCCCAAAAAACACAAGGATTAATTAATTAGTGATTATTATTATCTCACAAGTAATGTGACATGTAAATTTATTAAAAGGTAACTACTATTCATTTACAATAAAATGATAAGATGAAATAGAAATATTCCCAAATGGCAATAAACAAACATAAATTTGCATTAAGTTTAAAGAGCTGTGAATAAATGTCTTCCTAAGATCTAATTTTGACAGAAATATAGGTTGAAGTCGGGTTTAGCAGGTAAAAACAGAACTTGAGAATTTGGACCTAAATATTCGTAACACTTTATACCTTTATGATACCTTTATATTTAAGAACGTATATATACTATTATTTTATTTGAGCCCCATAATAACTCTCTGAGATTAGCAGGTATTATCTCATTCTTACAGATGAATAAACTAAAACTCAGAGATGTTAGGTAACTTGCCCAAGGTCGTACACCTTATTGATAAATAGAAGCTTAAATTTCAATCCAGGTAATCCAATTTGAATTCAAGGTTCATTTATGCTTATCCCATATGTAAATTATAATCCTGGCCTTCTAGAAGGCTACTCCCCAGGGGTGGGACACACCTAATTAAAGAGCCATCAGAGACAAGTTGAGAATCTGGAACAAGGTATTAACCTACACCAGGAAAGATATGATCAGCAACTGAACTCAGAGCCCATGAGTCATCTCTGTTCTCTAAATGGCTTAAGGAAGGAATAGTCTTAACTCAAGACTTTGAAGAAGGAAGACATTAGATGCTGCTTTTAGCCACCAGAAGGAGTGGAAGTGATTCTGGTAGTTTTCTAGGAAATAAGCACTAGTCAAGCAATTTGCCTAATAGTGACATAAAGCTGAGGTACAAACTTAGAATACAGAGTGGAGGAAAGGAAAGAGAGCATAAGAACTCATATAGGCAATTGGCCTTAACAATTGGCAAGTGCCAAAGAAATAAAAGAGAAAAGAGACGCAGCCTAAGAGCAGAAAGAGAAACTTCAAGAATTAAAAAAACAGAGCTATCAGTTGTGTCTCAAGGAGTGGTAAAGATGGGGTCAACGAAATCAGGAAAGACTGGTCAAAGAACAAATTTTTAGCAGTAGGCAGGGAACAGTACTCTCAACACGGGGTAGAAACTGCAAGTCCAGGTTGGTTGCTGAGCAGAACCAGGATGCAGTGCCTCAAAGGTCTCTACCAAAAACATGAAGCATGAACAATTATATATATATATATATATATATATATGTTATATGCATAACATTTATAATATATATGTACACACACACATACACAGAATAAAATTATACTTGAATAACTATATTGCCACATCGGGATGTGTTTTCATTTGTTTTTGCTTTTTGAAACATTTAAGAGATCCAGTGTGCCTTATGGAGCCAGAAACAGTGGAGATAGTACTTGCCACAGTTTGAGAACCTCTAGAATAGCCAGAGGAAGAGAAAGAGAACACAAATACAAGACAGGGTAACTGTGAAAGATGATCTCCTCCCGTTTGCTTATGTTCTGCAAATGGTAAGCAGAAGTGAGATTTGAACTACTTAGATGCTCCCCCATGGAGCTGACTGGGGTTTTCCTTCAAGAAAAAAATAGCTCAGTCATCACGGGAAACCGTGGAACCTGAAAATATTATTGACTTAATCTTCTTTCCCAACCCTATTCCCCAAGTCTAGTCCCCTCCACATTCCTACACCAGCATGGGCATCATTTAACTAAATTTTGTCATTCTGTTTACTACATGTGATGATTTATGTATGCTGCCCAACCTAGAGTGTGAACTCTTCATGTCATGCTTGCCCCCAGCCCCAGTCATGGTATTGACATATGCAAGTATGTGTGGCATGTTGTATGAAATGTGAATGGATGTACCACAGAGGGGCAGGCAAATTAGTAGGTATGCCATGATTTACATGTAAGAATAGCTGAAGATATAAAAGAGAACAGGAGATTCAAAAAATTGGAGATGATGTGTAGATATTGATCTATTCCCAACTGATGGGGGAAGAGGCATACGAAGGAAAGGCATCAAAGATAACTTCAGCAACATAAACTTTGCCTGTTTTATATGTCAAGTTAGGTAAGCACCCAATATTGGGACATAGCAGTAAGAGTAGGAGAATAATATGGGAAGAGAAAGGAGGAAAACAGCTTGGAATATGACATCAAGGGAAAGGTAAGTAAAGAATCTCCTAAAGTTAACCTAACCAAAGGGCTGAAATATCACCATGGACAACTGTTGAACACTAAGCCCAACAAACAGAAATATTATAACATTGCAAAATCCAAAACAAACATGTGCATTATATGTTACAGAACATGAACTATACCTGAGATCTTCGATTTCTTTTATATAACTATGAATCATATTACTAATCTCCTCATTTCCTTCACCTGAAAGACAAAATATGAAATAAAAATTTTCCTTTAAATTAAGACTTCAACAAAACAGGAGAAAAAAAAAGTCGGGAAACAAAACAATAATTTTTTAAAACACAATTCTTACAGCAAATTTTCTACCCTTTATTACATGAGCAGACCACAAGATAATATGATTACAAAGGGAATATTTTGTTTATATAAGAATTTATTATTTTTTGAAATTAGGTATTTAACTTAAAACCACAGACTGTATACACAGAGACTGGCATTTCTATTTCAACTATGCTAGGTAATTAGTGAACACAAAGAATGTTCCCTGCCCTCCAGAAGTTAATCCCTCACTTATCCCACCCTACCCACATACCTGCTCTGGCAAGAACATGGTTGGCCTGATCACTAACAAGCTGTGTAATTCTGGACCTCAATGCATCAACCGTCTCTTGCATGGCTTTAATTCTTACACGCAGGTTATTATTTTCAGTCTGTAGCATAGCATTCTCATGAAACATGTCATTGATGCTTTCCACACCCTCTTCGTCAATTATTCTTTTACCCTAGTAAAGGAAAATAATGTCCTTGTTGGTTGAGGAGCCTTAAAAACACAAGAGTTTTGCTTAAGAATACTCTATAACTATACAATTCTCTAACCAAGAGCGTTTTCATCTTACCAACCCCAAGGCAAAAGAAATCCTTTCACCTCTAGTAGAACACTCCACAATGCATTTGTTACTAAAGAAATTGATTAGCCAGGTGCAGTGGCTGATACCTGTAATCCCAGCACTTTGGGAGGCCAAAGTGGGCAGATCACGTGAGGTCAGGAGTTCAAGACCAGCCTGGCCAACGTGGTGAAACCCCATCTCTACTAAAAATGCAAAAATCAGCCAGGTGTGGTGGCGGGTGCCTATAATCCCAGCTACTCAAGAGGCTGAGACAGGAGAATCATTTAACCCGGGAGGCGGAAGTTGCAGTGAGCCGAGATCACGCCACTGCACTCCAGCGTGGGTGATAGAGGGAGACTCCATCTCAAAAAAAAAAAAAAAAAAAAAAAAAAAAAAAAAAAAAAAAAAAAAAAATTGGGTAGGAAAGCTTTTGAACAAACAGTTGTTAAGTTAGACTGAACATAGTTAAAGACTGTCCACAAGGAAAACTAGAGACTCTTACCTCCAAAAGGAAGGAGGACACTATTATGACAACCAAGAGATTCCAGAAACACGTATGTGTAAGGCATTATTGTGTTCAGAAAGTGCCAGCCTTAGATGTATCACAAAATGCAAAGTCAAACTCATTAGCTTACTGTTTTGTACTCCATGAGCTCCATCTGAAGTCGTGTGATTTCACTACGAAGTGCATTGATTTGCTGACTAGCTCTGTCCTGATTGACCATCACCTTATTCTTGATATTTCTAGCTCGATTGGCGTATTTCAGGGTGTTTAACGTTTCCATAAAGTCTCTGTCTGAAGGGCTGACACATGCTATCATGATTGTTTGGCTGAAAGTTACAAATAATAGTTAGGCTTACACATAAAAGCACCTAAAATGCTAAAATAATCATTTTTAAATTCCTAACATTTGAATAGTATCTTCTCTTCAAGATACCAAAATATTGAGCAAATTTAAAAGCCCCTGTACTTGAAGACTATCTTAAGAAAAAGCTTTTGTTTACTTTGGGGAAATAAATTGATATTATTCACCTTTGACCTTGAGAAAGTATAAGCACATACATTTATTTCTTACCTCTTTGCTAAAAAGATTTGAAGCAGTGCACACAGTAATTCTAAAATTAAACTGACTACAATACATTACACTGAAAATCTAAAACCACTTCTTTCATTATTTATTCTTTCAGTATTTTAAAAATTTATTCTTAATCACCAGTATCCTGACTTTTGATGCCAGCAAAGAATTGTACACAAAATCCAATCACATTGAAACAAGAAGAGTACTTAGTATATTCTTGTGTTTCGTTATATAAACTGTCATTTGTGACTGAATGATCAGAATTACAGTTTCTGGCCAGATTACATAGGAAAAGTGGGAAACATTACTTTACGGTCATGATAAATTGATTTAGCCACCGAAGATTAGGATAGTGAAATGCTAAGTATGCCCCATTATGTTTGTATGTTATGTTTGTAAATAAAGCAGACATGGAGATTCTAACAGACACTCACAAACTAACTAAAAAATGTGTAGGAACTGCAATTAAGGAGCAGTCTACTTATCCTGGTAGAAAAATCAATGCCTATCAATCATAATCTTAGCCTCCTAGTCTCCTGCTTCCAATCTTTTCTTTCGACAATAATCTCAACACAGTACTCGTAGGTACCCCTTGTCCCATTCCACACCTTTTTCCTACAACTCTTGCTTACCCTTACTGTTACTATTATTCAACAATCAACTAAGGTATCACCTAATCCAAGAACCAAATCCTCCATTTGTCTGTACCCTTTCTGCCTCCTCACACCTTTTGGATATCTCTTTTGCATTCTTTATATTATTATTATATTGAAATTTTATAGACCCCAAAACTCTTAGACTTTAGATTCCTAAAGGACAGGGATTATCAACTTTTATTTATCAGCATACTTCTAAACATATAACACAACATTTGAACCAATATTAGGTCATTAACAATTGTGATGTGTGTCATGTGTACATAATATTTACTGGGGGTCAGAAAGTTAAAATAATTCATGCCATTTTAGTTTTCTCTTTTGATAAAGAAAATAAGGTAATTCAGTAAGCGTGAGGATTATGGATGCTGATTAGAGAATAGAGCAACTTGAAGTGTGGTCCCCAGTCTAGCACCAGTCTGCAGATTATTTTTACTTACATAAAATTGGGGAAAATAAATTTATATTAGCCTTCTTTGACCCACAACACCTTGAGTAAGCACAGGTACATACATCCATTTCTTACTTATTTACAAAAAATGTTTAAAGTAATGCAGAAATTGCAAGTAAGCACTTTAGAAACTTCCACAACACTTGAACTTCCTGTAATCAATGACCTCCTCTCATTGAGTATAGATCAGTTCAAGTGTTTTCAAACTCCGATGGTGAGTCACAAATGGGGCAAGCTCTGTATGGTCATGCACAATATTAACTCACCACAAATTGGAAAGAAGGGAAGGACTCGCCTTTAACAAATATTTTGAGAAGTGCTGGGATCAAGGGCTTAAGAAGAATAGTGAAAGTCAGGAATAAGAGTAACTGGCAAGGATCAATTGTATAGGGAAAACATCATATATTAAACAAAACCCAAAATATATAAATTTCAAGAATGATTCTATTTATGAAAAACTCAAAGAAAATAAAATAAAGCTAAAAAAAAGCTATTTATTTTAAAAGTTCACACAAAAAGCACACAATTCTGCTTTAAAGAGAACTATATCACTTAAATATTTTATTATATTGTATATTATATTTCTTACAAATTAAGTTATACTACACATCTTGAAAATGTATCACAATGTTAGCAGTAGTTACTTCTAGGTATTAGAAATATGATTTTTTTTTTTTTTGAGATGGAGTCTCACTCTGTCACCCAGACTGGAGTGCAGTGGCACAATCTCAGCTCACTGCAACCTCCGCCTCCTGAGTTAAAGCGATTCTCCTGCCTCAGCCTCCCAAGTAGCTGTGACTACAGGTGCCCACCACCATGCCCAGCTAATTTTTGTGTTTCTATTAGTAGAAACGGGGTTTTGCCATGTTGGCCAGGCTGGTCTTCAACTTGTGACCTCAGGTTATCCGCCCACCTAGGCCTCAAAGTACTGGGATTACAGGTTTGAGCCACTGTGCCCAGCTATAAATATAACTGATTTTTATTCATGCTTTATACTTTCCTGTATTTTCCAGAATTTTTGCCATAAACTGGTTATGATATTTATTAAACACTGTAAATGTAAAAAAACCAGCTCGAATTTTTTAAAAGACACTAAATTATGCACATAAACATATGGAGCTTATTTTCAAAAATATCCTTGGTCTAATTTTTCTTTTAAGTTTAATTTGTATAAACTTCAAAAAGTGAAGATATTTTGCTCTCCAAGGCTTACACAAAGTACAGTGCTTTTGCACTAGGAATGCAATCCTAAAATTTTAAGCAAAAATTGAGGCACACGAAGAAAGGAATTAGAAGGGGTCATCTCCTTTGAGGGGTTACCACCCATTAAGGAAATAGGTGAGGAACATGAGACTATTTAGCTGTAGCCTAAAACTCAGCAGAAATTCAAGATCCACAGTGAAAATATCTTAGACCACTTATAAGGTAAGCAAACTTTCAAAAGTATTGAAGTTTTCAAGAGTTAAAATAGTAAGGGGAGGACATATATCATGTCTGCTTTGTTTTATAGTTAAGAAATAAATACAGGAAAAAGCTACAATTTAGAAAACCCGAAAAAATTTACACTTGGCTGAAAAAATGAAAATTTTTATTCTGTTATAATAAGACCCCTCTTGATACTGAAGATCAAACTGAAAATATAGAACACAAGAAATATATGATAGTGGAAGGAAAACTGCATCCATACATAGGATGTGCTGGAAGAGACATGAGTTAAGACAAATGCTAATAGTACATAAAAGGAAGAAACATAAAAATGACAATGTTGTATTCTACAAAACAGAACTTTCTTTCTTTTTTTTTTTTTTTTTGAGACGGAGTCTCGCTCTGTCTCCCAGGATGGAGTGCAGTGGCACGATCTCCGCCTCCTGGGTTCACGCCATTCTCCTGCCTCAGCCTCCCGAGTAGCTGGGACTACAGGCGCCCGCCACCACGCCTGGCTAATTTTTTTGTATTTTTAGTGGAGACAGGGTTTCACCGTGTTAGCCAGGATGGTCTTGATCTCCTGACCTCATGATCTGCCCGCCTTGGCCTCCCAAAGTGCTGGGATCACAGGCATGAGCCACTGCGCCCGGCCAAAACAGAACTTTATTTCTAAACCAAACGGATTATAAACTTAAAAGGATTTAATATTATCCAAAATTATTTGGATAATAGTTGTTGATACAGTTTGGATCTGTGCCCTCACACAAATCTCATGTAAAATTGTAATCCCCAGTGTTGGAGGTGGGGCCTTGGTGGGAGGTGATTAGATGTTGGGGGCAAATTTCCCTCTTGGAACTGTTCTCATGATAGAGTTCTCAGGGGATCTGGTTGCTTAAAAGTGTTTGGCACCTTCCTCTCCTTCCTCCTGCTCCAGCCCTGTAAAGTTCTCACTCCCTCTTTGCCTTTTGTCATGACTGTAAGTTTCCTGTGGCCTCCCTAGAAGCCAAGCAGCTGCCAGAATCATGCTTCCTGTAGAGCCTACAGAACTGTAAGACAATTAAACCTCTTTTCTGTATAAATTACCCAGTCTCAGGTATTTATGGCAGTGCAAGAACGAACTAACACAGTTGTTCAAAAAGAAACCTTGCTAGTTTAAATACTAGATTTGTTGTATAGCATCTAATAATCTTTTCAGTAAATATGATGTTACATTATTGCAAACACTGTAAAATAGATTCACTGTGGTTGTTGGTAACTTGTTGAATTGTGCTATGATTGAATTTAAATCCCAAAAATGTTTCCATTTGTAAAGCCAACATATTTACAGAGGGGAATACATTACCATAAAAAAAAAAGCTGAAAAAACATATCAGAATGATGCAAGGTATGAGAAAGCAAGAATGTCAGTGATATTGGCAAAGTTAATAACCAGCCAACACTCTGTATTTCATTCAGTGGACATTAAGATTTTTCCACGTATAAAAAAAAATTTGAATTTTTAGAAGACTTTGTAAAAAAAAAAGTACCAATAATATTTAAATTACTTTGTAATTACTTAGGAAAGAGTACTTTTTCAACAAAATTTTATTAGCTTTCTATTCTGTGCTAAGTACTTAAAACAGAAGCTACGATAAGAGAGAAAGTCCACATACTATTGACTTCATATACAAGCTAAGTGGCCTTGAATAAATTACTTAACCTCTCTAGATTCATTTCCCTTATCTAGAAAATAGAATAATAATACCTACACCTCAAGGGATGCTAGGATTATGTGAAATAACATACAAAATTATTCACACATTTGAGATCCTTAACAGTATAAGGATTAGTTCCTCATCCTATTAGTTTGCTTTGCAATAAAAGTAGTTCTTATAAATCATCTTACAAGCTTATTTAATAATGAATAATCAAAAGTCTGAGTAGAGGATAATCATCTATGCATACCTATTACCCCCGAGGGAATCCTGTAGTAGTCTTGTTAGCTTGGAATCTCTATAGGGGACATGTGTGGCCCTCTTGCTCTTGTCTCCCAAGGCACTTATTACATTGCCAAGTGCCAACTAAAAGAAAGAGAAAGAAAGACAGCAAAATGATACAAATTTACTAATTATAACAATTTTAAATAAAGAAAGTTTACAGAGAATAATATAGAGACATAATATAATTAAGAATATTTGTGTTTGGTTTTGTTTTACATTTGTAACCAATGTCACTGAAAATTTAGTACATATATATTAGTACTATATATAATACCGTATGTATATATTAGTACTATAGTACTAATAGTACTAATTCTTTGAAACAGAAATAAGATTGACAACTTTAGTTACCCCTAGAATTATCAGAGCATCAGGTTATGTCCCCAGAAAATTGTCCATTCATGTTACGCATTCTTCTCCTCAACTCAATGTAAAAATAAAATGTTTAGTTAGTTTAACAGTTTGATGCAAATTTTCGTTTTGCAATACAGTTCCCACGGGAAAAGAAAACCTTCTTTAATCACAACAAAAAAAATCAGTATTATTTCTCTGAACAAGGTATTCCTATGCAAGTATATCTATCCTTAGACATACAATAAGATGGGCTGGGTGCAGTGGCTCATTCCTATAATCCCAGCACTTTGGGAGGCCAAGGTGGGGGGATCACCTGAGGTGAGGAGTTTGAGACCAACCCGACCAACATGGGGAAACCCCATCTCTACTGAAAATACAAAAATCAGCTAAGCGTGGTGGTGTGTGCCTGTAGTCCCAGCTACTTGGGAGGTTGAGGCAGAAGAATAGCTTGAACCTGGGAGGTGGAGGTTGCAGTGAGCTGGGATTGCACCACTGCATTCCAGCCTGGGCAACAGAGTGAGACCCCGCCTCAAAATAAATAAATAAATACAATAATATATGTGTTAGCATCCAATTATTTAAAAACTAGTCAAATTACAGAACTCTGTAGTCACTCCTGCCACCCTGCTGTTTTTCCTACTGTCACTGAATTATCACCTACAAGATAAACATTATCCAAAATGTTGTTCACACTGGCCATCAGTAATGCAAACATCTATAACCATGACTTTGTTAGGAAAAATAGATCATGCAGGGAGTGGCAACAGGATCACACTTTTTCATCATTCCCCCTTTCCAGAGCAGCTACTGTCATAAGCAATGGTAATACTGAAACTCTACTAGATATGTCTCAACATGCTTCAAGAGCCTAAAGAGGAAAACAAAGCAATGGCTTTTGTCTTTTCCTGACAACATAAATGTAAATACCACCATGATTATATCTCCTAAGAAACTCAAAACAATGCAAGAAGTCCAGAATCCAGGCATGCCATTTTATACAACATTCACCCACATGTCGGACCATCAAGATGAGTATTGGAGTTGGAAGGTCTGGCTCTCTCTAATCAGGCTTGGTTGGTAATTTCCCCATAGACGGATCATAATCATATAGGAGTAAATATTGGGGGGTGATTAATGGGAGGAAAGCAGACACCACACACTCTATAACTGCCTTTGCAAAATTCATATCAGTGAGACAAGTATGACAGTGAGGGAAATCTGACCTAATCCACTCCATCTTGCCTTTAATCTCTAAATTGCCCTTGTTCATTCCTATGCTGAGCTAACTAAAGGAGGAATTTATAGTTTAAAGAATTTTGAAAAGATGATAACAACCTTTTCCTGAAACAAACCTCTTCTTCCCTGGGGACCAGCATGCCTTTGTAAAACTAACAAATTAGCCACAAGATTATTAGAAATTATGATTTAAGAGTCATGCAGCTAGAGACCACGAGATTCCCAGCCTCCCCAATTGCTCCTATGGATAAGATGACTATTGTAAAACCTAAGATTGATGTTTGGATATTTTTTTAGACCCTGCATTCTGATGCACCAGCTGACACCATGCAGACTGGTAATCTGGCTCAAGCAGTTCTGTAATCCCACCCTGGAACAGAAGACAGCAAGAAGAATCCACTTAGACCCCATATGATTTAACCTCCACTCCCCACTCCCTTAGCCCCCTCATTCACCAAATTATACTTTAAAAACTGCAGTCTCTGAATTTTTGGAGAGACTAATTTGAGTAATAAAACTCCAGTCTTCCATTTAGCTGGCTCTGTGTGCATTAAACTTTTTCTCTATTGCAATTCCCCTGTCTTGATAAATCAGCTCTATCTGGGCAGCAGGCAAAAAGAATCCCTTGGGTGGTTACAACTCTGATGCTATTGGTGTCGCAGAAATTTAGGGATGTCATTACATTTGTGCAGGTACAAATATCCAGTTTTGTAATGAAGATAATAAGAACAAATTTAAAACACAAAACTTTGCTCTAAAATATTTCCTTCCATGTAATGAAGCTTTATGCTAACTAAATCACAAGGAGTTTTCCAATCAAAATGCCACTAGGTGGCATGGTATTAAAGTTAATTCTTAATATAATCTAGAAAAATTATCATTTTGAAACAATCATTACTAAAAAAAATTACAATTTCCAAAGTCAATAAAGTGACTGTCATAAAATGTTATCAAAAGGCTACTTTGAAGGTCTTCACCCATGAAATAACTTAATATTAAATTTTGGGCCAAGCGCAGTGGCTCGCGCCTGTAATCCCAGCACTTTGGGAGGTTGAGGTGAGTGAATCGCATGAGCCCAGAAGTTTGAGACTAGCCTGGGCAATGTGGCAAAACCCCATCTCTACAAAAAATACAAAAATTATCTGGGTGTGGTGGCACTCGCCTGTGGTCCCAGCTTCTATGAAGTGGGAAGATCAATTGAGCCCGTGAGGTCAAGGCTGCAGTGAGCCATGATCGCACCACTGTACTCCAGGAGAGTGGGTGACAGAGTGAGACCCTGTTTTAAAAAAATAAAAGATAAAAATAAATAAATAAGTTGATTTTGACAGTATATTGTTAAATGTGGAAAGAATTTTTCAAATAATTTGTATATCTATAATTTTCTGCACATATAAATTTTAGTACGACTAAATTTATACACATGAAGAAAATCTGTAATATATAAAAACAGAAAAAAGCCTACAACATGAGGAGATTGGAGATTCAGTGCATTACTAATAACTGTTCTATAATTTTCATTTCTTGGTTCAGTATCTGAAGGATTTCCATATGGATATTATAAATTACAAAAGACAAAAGGACAATAGAAAAGCTCTGATATATTCTCAGCACAAAGCCTTAATCTTACAAGTCCACAGTTGATAGAAATGCCTTCTTTTGCCCTCTCGCCTGTAGCTCCAGTACGCTTCAGTCTTTCAGATCCTGCGAGATCAACAAAATGGAACTTTGCAGTCAGGGTTTCAAATTCATTCATCTGTGCTGATTCAGAAATAATTTTATTATCAGTTGCATTGTCCTGAAATTAAGAAAAATAATTGAAAATACTTTATTAATGTAACATTAAATATCCTCCTAACCTACCTTGCGCTTATCCCATGTACACATATAGGCACAACCAAAGAAACAGGCATAAAGCCAAATAAATTCAAAAATGTCTGCTGGCAATTAGAAATTTAAAGTCAGAAAAAGCCTGGATGGTCAGAACTCAACTATTATCAACTGAGGCTTTGCTTATGCTAATGAAGGGAAACCTACAGCATATAATCCTCAAAAGCAAAAGGTCTCAGGTGATGACATCCAACAACATATGGCCACAGCATGCTTTTTGGTTTTTCAGACATTTATACAATTTTTTATTTCAAAATCTTACATGGCTGACCAGCTTCAACTTAACTAGGATCAGAAAAGGAAATTAGAAAAAGGAATGACTAAATGAACTGAATTTGGCTCAAATATATTCTCAGAGAATTCATGTGGTTTTAGGGAGATAAAAATTGAAAGTTTAAGAAATTAGAATTAATAACTCACAGCATCTATTTGGGGACACACTCTGGTTTGACACACATGAATGGTAAAAATGGCATGTGAACGAGAGCTCTGAACATTCATCTGGGTACTGGCAGTTGTCCGGGATAAAGCACCCAACTTCAAACACTGCATCATCTGAAAAAGGGGAAGAAACAAGGACTTTACTTGAACAATAAACAAGATACTATACAATCCAAAGTCTGAGGTAATGGCTAAAACCCACCATGTTAAGGGATATAAAAGATGTGGAATTTCACATTATTAGTTCAGTTACAGGCACTTTTTGAGATGGACTTCTCAGTATAATAGTGTATTATTTTTTAAATAGAAGAAAACACTGAGATTCCATTGTTGGCCATTTGCTGACATTTGCAGCTTCCATTCCAAAACTGTTATAGTAGAACACTTTGGTACAAACTGAGCAATAACTTGAATTATTCAGACGCTTCTCTATATTCCGTTAAAATTATTTTTTGTAATTTTTCTCAACAATCTCCCTCTAGGAGCCATGATACAGTTCTACATAGGTTAAAGCAAAAAGTACAAAAGGATTGTGGTCTCATTCTTCACCATCAATTGTCTAACCCTCTTTCTCTAGCTGTGAATGAAAACTGTTCATAAATTGCCTTAGATTCTTTTGATGCTATGACAAATATGCTGACTTTATAATAATCCTGATATTTTTATACTAATATTCTGATTTTTTAAATGTGAGGAAAGAACACAAGATCTTAATTCCATGTCATGCTTCAGGATATAAATTTCATATCTTGATCTTAAGCAGATTATCAGCAAAGCTCACTATTTAAATAAAGCCAACTATGCTCTGTTTTAACTATAATATAAATATTACCTCTGATTCTGTATTCACAGTACGTGTTGTAACGCCCACAGTATAAATTCCTCCAGTTGAATCTTCATGAATTCTTATATTTGATTTTTTACTTTTTGCATCAATATCACGAGTGGTATCAAATAAGTCAAGGACCTCTTCATTATAGAGCTATCAAAAAAATATTAGAAATCTAATTTTAGCAGAAATTGTCTGGGTAGTTGTCATAACAACACATTACATAATGATTCCTTCATACAGATTTTTAAAGTATTTCAAAATGACATATTTTTTCAAAATAACACATTAAAATGAATGAGGCTATTATTATAACAATTATAAGTAAATGCCAGATTTATTTACAAAAGTAAAAACAGTAAGTGACTTAATCATGACTAATGGGTTGAGGACTAGCTAAAATGATCTACTAATCCTTTGCAAGAGATAGTCAAATATTTACAAATACAAGCAAACCCTAGAAACATGTGCCAAATGTGGACAAATCTTAAGCTTCAGAATATTTAAAGAATTTTTACTACTTGAGCTAAAAACATATTTCCTGTTGCCCTGAAACCTTTCTTAACGTGTTGAAAAATTAACACTTAGCATGTTTGCAAGGTCAGTAACAATATTAGTGTTCCTGTATCAATAGTGGCTGAAAAAACCCAGATACCTCCTTAGAAGAGAATATACACACCTATTTTTCTATCAATATGTTTTAAAGTTACAATGCCTGACAACATTTTGGAGGGTGAAAGGGAAGATGGAATAACACTGTTTCTTTTCTTTTTCCACCATCATTTACTTTCCTTAGGAATACATAGTTATATTCTCTTTGGTTTTTACTAAATAAGGATATCCATTAAAACCAGCAGTAAAAAAAAAAAACTGATACTAATTTTTCTATGTTGTGCTACATAAGGCTGAGGAAAATTTTCATCAATGATGAAAATGATTAGCTCATGGATCAGGTAATTTAGACTAAATTCTCTTTGCACCAAGAACCTAGAATTATGCCACTGTCCACCAAAGTGCAATATTGCTCAAATCCTAGATGTCCTCTTAGTGTTATTTTCCTTCTACTATGCTAGACAGCCTAAATTAATCCAAATCCACCACAACCTTTAGACATTATATCAAAACATCTGTCTACCTATGCAAGGATAACAATTTCTTCAGCCAGATAAGTGCTACAACCTCAGACCTATTATTTCTCACATACTTCCCCTACTTTTGGCCTTAGTCATTAAGTTCCCACCACTCTGTAAGCCTGTCTAAATTACAACAGTAATAACCTTTATCTATTGATAAAAATAAGTTCCTGGCTGGGCTCATACCTGTAACCCCAGCACTTTGGGAGGCAGAGGCAAGTGAATAGCTTGAGGCCAGGAGTTCGAGACCAGCCTAGGCAACATGGCGAAACCCCATCTCTACTAAAATTACAAAAAATTAGCCAGGTGTGGTGGTGCATGCCTGTAGTCCCAGGTACTCAGGAGGCTGAGGCACAAGAATCACTTGAACCCAGGAGGCAGGGGCTGCAGTGAGCCGAAATGGTGCCATTACACTCCAACCTGGGTGACAGAATGAGACTCTTATCTCCAAAAAAATGGGGGGGGTTCTTAAATAAACAATATTAATTGTTCTTTTATTCTATGGACATTGGTCAAGTGTTTATAATCTTAAACTCAAACATCACTTCCTACAAGTAAGGAAAAGTTATTTCTACTATCTAATGTTAATTTACTCAAACAACATTTATTGAGTACTATCTTCAAAGCACTATACTTGAAGCCAACAGTATAAAATCATAAACACAGTCTATAAGAACAAAATTTAAAAGAAATTAATGCCAAAATTGGATTATTACCTCTAAGAATTGGGCATTCACTTTAAAATCTGGAGCAGGAAGCCCATTTTTAATTGCTATGTGTTTTTTTTCTTCAATACTCTTAAAAAGGTGTTTAACAGCTCGAGAAATAATACCCAGTTCTTCCTCAACAATGTTAACATCAAATCCTGTTCCCATTGTGTATGTTTTACCAGCTCCAGTCTAAACAAAAGAACAGAGAAAGATTAGTGTTCAACCTTAACATAACCTTAAGAAACAAAAATGAAAGCGCAACTGAATTAACATTTCTGAAAAGTTTCAACTCCTATGAAAATAATATGGCACTTACTTGTCCATAAGCAAAAACTGTAGCATTGTATCCTTCAAAGCAACCTTCAATTAGTTTTTCTATACATTGAATGTAGATCTGCTCTTGCTGGGAGTCAATGTCAAATACATAGTCAAAAGTAAAAGCCTTATCTTTCCCTAGGAAGACCTGAGGCTCTCCTGGTGTGACAGATGTACAAATATGGCATCCTTCAATCTTCTCTTTGGCAAGCTGTGGTCTTATTCTGTGAGAAATAATCAGAAAAGAAAAAAATAAAATAAATGGCAAAAAAAAACCTCTCAAAAAATAGGACTTAAAAACTCTTGGCCAAATCTTTTTTAAAACTCATGTAATTACCTAATGCTTATTCAGTTGAAAAGTTTAAATAAATTGAATTATAATGAATCAATTTCAGTACATGAGATGACTTTCTTAATCCCAATGAGTTACTTAACAATCCCCCAAAATCATGAACAAAGTAAAATCCATCTTAAAATTAGATACTTACCCAAGTGGATACTTTTCCTCTACTCTGTAAGAGGTAGACACTCAGTCCAATAAATTCTGCTACCAAAATGCTATTTGCTATTATTATTGTTTTAGATTTTTTTCTCTTTATTTCCAGTGATGATAGTATGGAAAAATAAAAAAGCAAGGACATTTATTTATCTTAATGTCTTGACGCCCTTGACTCGTCTTTTTTGCTAACTCTTCACCAGTGGTTTCTGAACCTATTTGACCATTATGTTCTATCAGTGTAACATGTTAAGCATATTCCCACAATATATATGTATATATATATTCATTTATAAATAATATTCATGTCCTACTATATTGATTTGTCATATATTGAAATACTGTCATCTCTCAGTATCCATGAAAGATTGGTTTCACATTGGTTTCACAACTCCCCATGGATACCAAAATCCGCAGATGTTCAAGTCCCTGACATAAAATTATGTAGTATTTGCATATAACTTACACACTTATTCTCCTGTATACTTTAAATCATCTCCAGATCACTTATAATACCTAATACAATGTTAATGCTATGTAAATAGTTATTATACTGCATTATTTAGAGAATAATAAGAAAAGGAAGTCTGTACATATCCAGTACAGATGTAACAATCCATTATTTTTCTGAATATTTTCAATCCACAGTCAGTTGAATCTGTGGTTGTGGAACCCCTGAATATGGAGAGTTGACTGTGTATAGAAAAGCAGAATTTTAAAAAGAAATAAATTAAAAATGAATATAAGTGAAAGTTCTAATATCTTCTCTCCAAAACTTAGTGAATTATTATGAGTTGCCTTTCCTCCACTGGAAGACCACCGCACTACACCCACCCCACATCCTCACACATCCACTTGAATCCAACACCATCCTATCTGTCTTCCCTCTCAAATTTCAAAATCTGTTTTCAAAGAAGAAAAGTAAATATGAAGATATGTTCATAACAGAACAAACCAAAATCTAGTCCTATTCTATAGGCTCTATAAACAGGACAGACTATTCTGGAATATAAACCACTCACTTACTGTACCAAAGTTTTTAAAGAGATTCCCTACTTGCCATGGAGAAAGAGAAGCAGTTTAAGGAAGAAAGGCAAGACAACCACAGATGAAAAATATAAAATGAGGCCAGGCACAGTAACACGCCTGTAATCCCAGGACTTAGGGAGGCCAATAGCTTGAGGTCAGGAGTTTCAGACCAGCCTGGCCAACATGGTGAAACCTGGTCTCTGCTAAAAATAGAAAAATTAGCCCAACATGGTGGTGCAGCCTGTAATCCCAGCTACTCAAGAGGCAGAGGCAGGAGAACTGCTTGAACCCAGGAGGTGAAGGTTGCAGTGAGCCAAGACAGCACCACTGCACTCCAGCCTGGGCGACAGAGTAAGTGAGAATCCGTCTCAAAAAAAAAAAAGAAAAGAGAAAAATATAAAATGATCAAGACAGGTCAAGGAACAGATTTTAAAGGAATCTGGTCTCATAGCCTTATTTTGTGAAATTTAAAAAAAAAAAAAACTCAGGTCAATAGAGGTAAAATAGAGGTAAAAACAAGTTCATCTATTTATTAGAGATAAAGCCAAGCCCAAGTCCAGATCCCCTAAGTCTAACTCTTTCCAGTTCATTAAAATAAAAGGTTAACAGGAAGAACAGGAATGACAATAGAGAAAGGATTGAGTTTCTGCAAACCTGGTTTTCTAAAACAGAATTTTGTATGCCTCAAAAATATCTCATGTAAATAATATGTCAAGTAAAGAATATGCAACTATTTTTTCTCCTCTATGATACTGGTATTTTTCTTTAATAAAGTCTTCAGCTTTGTTTGTTTGCTGTAATGGAATGTACTAATCAATGTGGAGCTGTCCAGGTAATGAGGCAAGAGCAATGGAATGGCCAGTAGCAGACCTGAGTTTTACTACTTGTCACTCCATAGGTATCATGTGGTCTTCTCTCAGAGCACCAGCTTCCTCAACTGTGGTGGAAAACTATAATTTCCAAGATTGCTTTTAGATCTAATACTACTTAACTGTAGATACTGTATTATAGAAAAGGGAAAGATGGAAATCATATTGTGTACTGTAATACATATTAAATGATATTATAACAAACAAAGAATTTCTTGTAATTTCTTGTAGCTATGCACACAGACTATAAAAACAGCCCGTGGTAGTAGCAGGTTTGGCTTTCTGGTTCCACATAACCTAGATGAGTGGTGTTTCTCTAAATTAATAATTTTTTGTTTCCAAACTCCTCTTCTCCTACCACATTACTTTTTACCACAGCAAAAACCCCAATCCTCTTTAGGAAAAACCACCATCTTGATTGTTGCCACGCCAGAAATAGGGAGAGTCAGAAACAACCTCAATTCCATGTCAATTCCTCCCTCTTCCCTATTCCACCTATCTAATCTAAGAGCTATTCTCTCTGAAATACTTCAGCCCACCAAGTTATTTCCTCCCCCATCAACACCACCCTAATGAAGGCCATCATTATCTCTTACTTAGAATATTGCAAAGTCTTCTAACCAGTCTTCCTGTGTCAACTCTTGCCCTCACCAACCTGTTCCACACACTGTAATATGAGTAATTTGTAAAACAGGAAGTTGGTCAGCTCACTACCCTGCGTAAAACCCTTCAGTGCATCTCTAAATCCCTCTGCTTTGCCATGCTACATCTTTGCATTAAAGGATTTTCACTAGTAGCCGTGGTGATGGTTTATTTTAGGCAGTTTCACTACCAGCTATGCTCTCTCTTGTTTCTATGCCTCCAACTTACATTATTCCCTTTTCCTAGACACTCTTCTCCACCCTTTCAATTCCCAACTCCTTTACCCGCCTGAATATTTTTCTTTCAATATCACTTGTTTTGGGAGCTCACACAAACTCTGCATTTCAACATAAAGTCCTGTCTGTGCTCAGGCTGTTCTCTCTCCTGAAAGCTACCTCATTAACTCCAAGTCTCTGCTTTTTCTACCAGCTTTATGGCTGCTATACTACTCTGTGAAACTTAACAAATCCCATGTAATAATAAAGATAAAAATAATAAACGCAACACTCTAATGAAAACAAGTACTGGGCTACTACTTAATATCAGTGTGCCATTAATTTTAGGTAAATGATTATAACCATAGGCTAATTTATTTGGCTATTAAGATACTTTAAATTTCATTTCAACATAACAAAGAAAAACTAGGTGCCATTTGAATTGCAGATACGATAGCCAATTTTAGATGCTAATGTCACTCAGAATGTCTTTAACTTATTCTCTTAACCTCTACTCATCTGGTTATGATTCTTGCTAATGGCAAGGAGGATTCTGTTTGAAACATGGATGATGCCCAATTTCATCCATTTGCATGGGTGAAGAAGACAGAGTGGTTTTAAAAGCCAGCAAGATGGGTGAAAACTTTTCCACTGGATCCAAGCAATGGCAATTTTCCAGCAGGTCTGAGAAAGTCACACCTAGGAGGGGATGGTGTCCCACACATGCAGATTAATTGGAAGCTGACTATACTTCAAAGACTAGGGATAGGTTCACCTTTTTAATTCCTCTTGAAAAATTAGTATTTTAAAATCTCCAAATCCCTAAATTAATACTCAAGTCAATAATTCTCACAGGAACACCCAACCCAAGCCAGTTCACCTGCTTTATAATTGATGAGTTTGAAACCTAGCTACAAACCTCAATTTCAAAACTATTACTTGAGGTTCTATATAGATGAAATATACATATCCTTCTGTAAAAGAGAAAGTTAGAAATATAACATTTACAACTTTGGATATTTTGAAATATCTTCTTTCTCAGTATTTTTATGTAAAAAATAAGATCATTAAACACATGCATCTAGTCCCAACACTAAGAAATCATCAGTCTTAACGTTTGGATTAACTAATCTTAATCAAACTGACTAACACTAAGAAATAACAAAGCCAAGTAGATTTTTAAAAATGTATTATTCTACAACTAGATGTATTTAAAACTGCTTCTTAAAGACAAACAATTACGGACAAAAATTGAATTATTATTTCTCCATTAGCAAATGATTCTTTGAAGACAGAGAATATATCTTATTCATTCCTAAAGCAAAGTAATCCAGAAGTGTTTACTGACTTACCCCTATAAACTACACTAGGTAAAAAAAAGAGTATTTTAATGCAAGATATATGATAATTACAATAATATAACATCACTTTACTCTGTCACTGGAAACTCATTCTTGAACAAGCATTTAACCATGCTACATGTCTGTTTTCTAATCTATGAGGAGCCTGGCTTTACTAATTCCAAGTTTAAATTCTATTTTAATTAATCCTTCAAGAAAAACAAACCAAAGTTTCCCTATGCTGGCTTTTAAAAGGTTGAATAAACTACTTTTTTTTCCCCTGCCATGCACTATGCACCAGTACTTCTTATTGTTTGTTCCTTATTTCTTCATTATTCCTATCGTATAACAAATGATACTGTGGACATAGGGCAAGGGACTACTTCATTTATGAAAACATTATCATGGGCTCATTGCTGTGGAAGGAACTAGTGAAGATTAGGGGAGATTCTGAGACTAAATTCAGGAAATGTCTTAAAAGTGGGCCCTGCCTTCTGTTCTTTGCCTTTGTAATAACCGAAACTGGTTTTAGTGATTGAATATATTTAAATGAGCCAAGAAGACATGTTTTGAGATGTCCTAAATAAAACAAAAGTTTTAAAATAAAGTATTTTGGGGGAAAGGCTTATACTTGCTACCTTTTCAACTAGAGTTTTAGTCATGAAACTTAGCAAAACTGAGTTTATACATTAGTTCTGTCACATACTGCTATTAAGAGGCAATTCACCACAACCTTAAGAGTTCCTGCACATTCTTGCTGTGTATGCCAAGAATGCAAGACCCAGACTGCTCTTTTCATGGATCATTTCTCAAGGTTATGTTGGGAACAAGCAAACTTTAAGGATAAGGTAATGTCTTCATGACAGACCTGGCTTGCTTCTGCTTAGTATAAAAGTGGTTAATCCATAAGCTCAATGTTTCTCAATGCCCACCTGCTTGCACAGCAACCATATAATAGGGGTATCAGCACTGCCCCCGATGGATTGAAAGGGAACAGAGCACCAGGTCAAATCAACATGAAGCTCACATTACTTATTGTACCACAAGTAATAAAAGTCCTTAGTCTCCAATCGGGAGTTTTGTGTCTTCTGTCACTATTTATGATACAGTAATGGGTTAGCTTGTTAGCTTGTAAATAGAGTGAAAACTCAGTCCCTTCACAGGCCTTAATACATACTAGCGACCTTTGGCAAGTCACTCTCTCAGCCTTGATTTCCTTATCTATAAAATGTCTATTAAATATTATAATATTATTGCCATAGCCACATGATAGCATCTTGCACAAATGAGATACTATGAGACAATGAGAGCCTACATAGCTATAAAAGTGTTGTTACAACACCACCTGAAAATTCTCTAAGTCATTTCCCTCATGAGGCACCCTAACATCTCAGCTTGGGCCTTCCCATGTGTTAAAGAATGCATGATTTACTCTTTGGCTCCCCAGACTGTTGCTGTATTTTTTAAATTACCGTTTGGATACCTTGAGTCCCCAAGAAAATTAAATATAGAACCCCTACGTCATCAATAGAAGTGTAATACAACAATTAACATTCCTGCATACATGTATGCATATACTTACAGATATACACACATACATTGTTATGCAAAGATAATAAAGCTGGATATCTTTACACCTCCATTCATAAAAAGTCATAATCCCAAAATTAGCCTTTTCATAGTAATAAATAATCAAGTCCCAATCATCCTTCTACTTTTATCAGTATAGGGTACAATAGGAGCCAAAATAAGAATTCTTATAATTTAATATTATTATCATTTTTTATAGACATGTAACCAGTAAGGAAATTTCATTCAGAAAGGAATAGAACTAAGGTCCTGAGTAAAAAGTCTGTTTAAAGCTGGGGATTAAATTGTTATGGTACAATTTGTCCTTATACTGAACTAAACTGAATTAAATGCTAGTGACTACAATATTGACAAATGAGCTACTGAAGGAATGCTGACCCAAGAAAAATAAATAAGTCTATGCTATTATAGTTTACAACTTCCTATAACTTACGTGTGCAAGAACCCATACATTTTTTCAAAATTATAAGACTAGCACCAACATCACTCAATCCAATGATGCAAACGATCAAACTTAAATTTTTAAATGCATGTGGTTTTTGTGGTACTTTTCAGACTCTCTCTTACACTCCTACCCCTTCTATTCCTCTGTTCCCCATTTTATTAAAAACATCACAAGGGATAAGCCTTTCTTTTGCTCATTTATTGGTCAAGTTATTTCTCCCTACAGATAGAAGAGGAATAACATACAACATGTCTTCCTTTTTGCCACTAGCCATTGCTGATTTGTTGTCCTGTTAGAAAGTACTATTGTCCTTAATCAATGGTTTCATACATGTGACAAATTTTTCCATTACCTAAATGTCTTTGTAAACTGTCTCTCCTCTTTTGCTTGAGTTATTCTGATCTCATCCCCACAAGATTGTGGTAGTTCTCCAATTTATTCAATAATCTGACCTGATTCCCGCTTTGTGTAGTTCTTTTACTTACACCTATCTGTAACTAGCCCACTTGGCACTTGGTAACACCTTTCTTCTTCCTAGAGAACACCAATAAATCTATCCTCTGTACAGGTCTTTTGCCTTTCTTTATCTCATTTGTTGGTGTTTTGGATGATCATTATGTTGGATGCTACTTACTGGTGTTCAATTTCATTTCTTGATGTTAATTATTTCTTACTAAATTCCTTCCTTCCATTTCCCCAAAATTAGGACAGCTATCATTTTGTCATCACAACTGAGCCACTGGGGTTTCTGGTCCCTTTTTAAATCCTCCTCTAGTTCATTCCAGTTAGTAGATACCACATTAAGGAAGCATCTGCCCTACTTTAACTCTCCACCTTCTGTTCTAGAAAAGAGTTTCTGACACACCATAAGAACTTGTTAGGCCATTTGTGGACTTGCTGAATTGTCTCCTAAGAGATCGGGCACTGCATAAATAATAAGTAACTCAAGCCCATAAAAAGAAATTCCTCTCCCTAAAATGGATCTTTAATTACAATGATGGGTGATGAGAAGAAAGGTATTTCTTCAAGACATTCAAGAAAGAAACACACCTCAGTAACTCCATTAAAGAGATTATTAATTGAGTGAAAAGCCTAAAGACAATAAAGCACAGTAATGTGTTCCAGGGACTAGGGAGTACATACTTTTATGAATGACAAAGATGAAGAAAAGAACCTGTTTTTAATCCATTAATGATGAACAGCTGTTAAAAGCAATCCAGAAATCTTATCCTAATCTATATAATTAGCTCTGTATTCTACTCTCTCATCTCTATGTGGTCCACTGGACTCATAAACTTTATGAAGTTTATTCTTAATAAACAGATATTCATAAACATATATATTTTCAATTAAAATCCCTAATATACAGCATACATAGCTAATGCTTCTGGCTGCAATTCTAGACTACACTACTCAGTCTCTGGTTTACAACACCCCTTGGAAAAATAAAAATTTATTTCCCTCAAGTACAGTTCTGTAGTGGCTAACCAGAAAAAGAAAGCAGGAAAAATAGCTATTGGGCCATCTTCCTCTGACTTCCACTCTAGCGTCTCCTACTTTTTATCCCACGGTTCATCTAAGGACACAGAACACTGATAAAAGTTCTCTCAATTGAGGAAACCAGTATCATTCACAAGGGGGTAACATTGTGCCACTCTGTTGAATAGCAGATGTCCAAAGAACTACATTGAAATAATGCACATGGGCTGACAAAATAAAGAAAAAAAATAGTCAAATTCTGGATTTTTATAAAAGTCCAATCCTATGCATCACTGTAATTAATTCTTCTGGAAACTCCAGAGCTTTATTTAGCCTTTCTCCCGGAAATAGAAAGCCTCTACTCCCACAAAACTGAGGGAGTGAGGGGAGGGAGTACTTCAAATGACAACAGGAACCATCTGCCTATTTTCCAAAGTGCTCATAAAATTTCTGTTGATGCTGGTGGCTGTATGTGGTGGCCTATTGATAATCCAAGGCCCACAGAAAATTTCATTTGGTCAACAGTGCCCTCTGGAGCACCTACTAAATGTCAGACAGTGTGTAAGGCAAAAAATGTTTTAAATAAAAACAAAAACTTGAGGAGTGTAACCATGGTCAGAGGTAGGGGAACGATAAGTAAATTAAACATATGGTCAATGAAATATTGTATACAAAGGATAAACGGAATAAAGATTAGCCAGAGGGTAATGGGGGAGGAACAGGAAAAACTGCATACAGGAAACTATATTTGACCTGGGTTTTGGAGGGTGATTAAAATTTTCGAGACTGAGAAGGGAGAAAAAGTCAGTTCGGGGAAAATAAGTCAAAACTTCTTGAGGTGCATTTGTTCCCTGGTTATGACACAGTCCTTAGGGGCAGAAGCACTAGCATAAAAGTTGTTAGAATTGGCCGGGTGTGGTGATTCATGCCTGTAATCCCAGCACTTTGGGAGGCTGAGGCAGGCGGATCACAAGGCCATGAGTTCGAGACCACCCTGGCCAATATGGTGAAACCCCATCTCTACTAAAAATACAAAAATTAGCCGGGCATAGTGGTGGGCGCCTGTAGTCCCAGCTACTCAGGACAATCGCTTGAGAATTGCTTGAACATAGGAGGCAGAGGTTGCAGTGAGCCGAGATCGTGCCACTGCACTCCAGCCTGAGAAACAAAGCAAGACTCTGTCTAAAAAAAAAAAAAAAAACCTGTTAGAATTTAGGGAAGTTTTGTGAATGTTATGACACCACCTAATTAGGCATACCAGCTAACACATTATCCTCTAAAATGAACACTCACTCTGGTCTCTGCATGATGAAAGATGCTACCAAAAGGCTCACAAAAGGCATACTAGAGATCTCTGCCAAATATTTCTTAGTTTCTTCCTTCTGATTAACTTCCATCTTCAACTTACCCTGTACCCTGGGAGACTGATGTCCATGGGCGTCAAAAATGGGCTCCCTTGCCCTCAGGCTTCCAATGAAGCTCAGCAATGGGAGGTATCAGTAGGACATTAAGGGGAGGAGAGGAATGAGGTCAGAATGTTTACTGTCCTGATTCCTTCCCTGCCAGGTCCCATTGGTGGGCTCTGTCCCTCTCCCAAAGGCCACAGCTCCTATTAAGCAGCCACTTCTTATACCATAGCCAGTGGTACAGTAGTCTACCTTCTGTTACTAACACCAGAACACTGCCTCATCTCTTGTCGCCTCCCTTGAGGCTGCCTGTTCTCCCCCAAACATTCCTAAATTATATTGTTTTGATATATCATCTGTTTCCTATTGAGATCCTGATCAAATCAGGGTTAATCTCAGGAAATGGTAACAACACTTTTTGTTTTTTTGTTTTTTAAGAGACGGAGTCTCCCTCTGTTGCTCAGGCTGGAGTGCAGTGGCGCTATCTCTGCTCACTGCAACCTCCGCCTCCCAGGTTCAGGCAATTCTCCTGCCTCAGCCTCCTGAGTAGCTGGGATTACAGGAGCACGCTGCCATGCCCGGCTAATTTTTTGTATTTTAGTAGAGACAGGGTTTCACCGTGTTGCCCAGGCTGGTCTTGAACTCCTGTGCTCAGGCAATCCGCCTGCCTCAGCCTCCCAAAATACTCGGGTTACAGGCGTGAGCCACCGCTCCCGGCCTAACAACGCTTTTTTAAAGCACTACCACTGTGTGATCATTCCTTTCACTCCCATTCCTGAAGTCAATATTGACCTAGAATATAGGTCCCTACAATTCTCCAGCCTTTCACAAACAAGTCATTGACCCAGTCTCTTTCCTGGATACAGCGGGAGTTTTCAATAGATTTTGGTTGTTAAATATGTAACAAATGATAATACAAAGTTTATAAAGTATCATCTTTGTTGGTCAATCGAATGACTTTTATAAATTCTTATAATAAAAAAGGTTTAATTAACACTTCAGTTTCATTTTTAAAACTGAAAGGAAACTGAGTGTGGTGGCTCGAGCCTGTAGTCCCAGCTACTCAGGAGGCTGAAGAGGAGAGGACCGCTTGATCCCAGAAGTCTGAAGCTAGCTTGGGCAACATACTGAGATTCCATCTTTTATAAAAAAGAAAAGAAAGAAGAAGGAAAGAAGGAAGGAAGGAAGGTAGGTAGATTGAAGGAAGGGCAGGAGAAAATTCAAGAAAGGAGGAGTAAAAGGGAAAATGTAATCTCAGAATAAAAGTAATAACTGGATGATATTTCAACTCTCATTCTCAGATTAGTTTCTAGCATCTTCTATTTTTTTCTTATTACATTCCTATACCAATTATATACAGAATTTTCAAAACTCTCCTTCAAAGTTCTTTCTAAATGTACATATGTTCTTTGGGGAAAGGGAAGGGTCTCATTATACTCTTCATAATAGTATATGTTTTATTAAAACTATTTCATGGCCGGGCATGGTGGCTCATGCCTGTAATCCCAGCACTTTGGGAGGCTGAGGAGGGTGGATCACGAGGTCAGGAGATCGCAACCATCCTGGCTAACACAGTGAAACCCCGTCTCTACTAAAAAAATACAAAAAAATTAGCTGGGCGTGGTGGCGGGCGCCTGTAGTCTCAGCTACTCAGGAGGCTGAGGCAGGAGAATGGTGTGAACCCAGGAGGCAGAGCTTACAGTGAGCAAGATCGAGCCACTGCACTCCAGCCTGGGCAACTGAGCGAGACTCTGTCTCAAAAAAAAAAAAAAAAAAACTATTTCATTATGGGGAAAGCTAGCATTCTGACTCTATAATGATAGTAATACATCCTTGATCCCAGAGGTATATTATTTTTGTTTACAATCACTCTGGGAAGGAAAAAAGACTTGTCATTTCATCTTGCTTCCTAGAAATCAAAATAACATTTTAAAAATATGGATGATACTGTGCAGATTAAGAATCTGGTCCTAAAGTAACAAACATGTTATTGATACCAATTTTTACCATCAAGGAAAAAAAACTCCTACCACAAACATTAAAATAAGCCATAATTCTGTCATCTCCCAATAACCACAAGTGACAGCTCAAAGCCAAGACATTAGACTATAAGGAACACTTTATTTTTGTAAGGAAAATGTGGTAGGCAGAATTTGAAGATGATCCCCAATGATCCACACTCACAATTCCTGCCCCATAAGTGTGGTGGAACCTGTAATTATGAGGAGATACCACTTCCAATTTAGTTACTAACCGGTTAGAGTTAATCAAAGGGAAATCATCCTGGGTGGGCCTGATCTAATTAGGCAAGTGAGTCTTTTAAAGAAGGTGAAGCATGAGACATATTTCTGCTGGACTGCAAGAAGAAAGCAAACAGTTATGTTGTGAACTACTTACAGAGAAGACTATGTTTAAGAGCTGAGTAAAATCCCCAGACAATAGCAAGCAAGAAAATGGGGACCTCAGTCATATAAGCACAAGAAACTGAATTCCACCCCGCACAGCAACCATCTTTTAAAATTATGTATTTGGAGATTGTTTCAATTAATAGATGTCTGGCCTTGTCAACCAACTTTGTAAAAAATTACCTTTCTTTGATTTTCAGTTTCTCTGCCAAAAGTTACCTCAAGTTGTGGGGTCAGGAGGTGGGAGACAGAATGAATCTGTCTTTCATCATTCACTTAAAACACAGAAGATTCAGCTCTTATATATTTGTAAGATTTTATATTAAGAAAAGATAATTTGGTGTTCAAAAAAGATGACTGAAAACCATTGCCATAGAAAAAATTCCTGCACATGATAAGATGAAATAAGATGATCCTAAGGTTCTCTTAAGCATCAGCTCTAAAATTATGAAAATTTTATATTGTGATGATTCTAAGAACAATTACAGGTAATCTGGTTGCCAATAAAATAAAAACATGAGTCATGTTTGAAAGGGCAATGTTGCATATGTGTCTTAATTTCTCCGGTCAACATGAATTTAATTTAGAAAAAAATAATCTACTCCAATGGGGCATTTTCAATAGTTTCAGCAGACTTAGATTTTTAAAATTATTTTTATAGTGTATTTGAATTTGCTATACGAAACAACTCTGATATCTTACTGTCATGCTTACTAAGGCAAACTGAAGAGTCTCCATAAGACTCAGGATACAAATAGATTTTTTGTATTTAAAATCCAAATGAACAATTAACAAACCCCCCTCCCAAAAAAACAATTAACAAGCCATATTTTCCTAAATGCACACAAAACAGCATGTGGAGTGAACTTACCTGTCAATGAAATTACCTTTCTAATAAACTTGCATACATTTGCTTCAACCTTTTTTTTACAGATTGTTTGCCTTTTAGAAAGCTAGCCGAATGTCATCCATGGAGCGTTACATTACTGCATGAAGTATCAGAAATGGAGAATACAAACAGCATTTCTCATACAATTCTGACCAGTTTAATTTGGTCTATTACTTTTAGGACAAAATCAGAGGGAAGTGAAAAGATCCTTAGCAAGTGGGCAAGAGCAGGCATCTAGGAAAGCTGGCTTGCTCTTCTAGACATTTTAATGCATGAATGTACTAGAGAAACATTAGAGGACAAAGTATCTTTGACAAATGTGCAAAATGCACTTAATCCTCTTCTTGAATTGAAGGTCAAAGGAAATAGATAAATGTGATCCATTAGCGTGAATACTAATAGAGTTAGGAACTACATTTGTACATTCTGAAAGAACAATTTGAGTATTAGGAATTGAATAAAAATGTCATTAGAGATTTTTGAACCATAATGAGTTGTCTAAGCCACTAGCTTTCCCCTTCCGGCAAAGGCCTAATGTCTGTAAGTAGATTATAAAGGTTCCTGCTATATCAACAAATGATATCCTAAATGACAGATATTTGAGACTAACTATAAAAATTGTTTCCAGAAAATAGGAAGAAATCCTCCTAGAGTCAATTCAATTTAACAAATAATTTATCGTACCCCTATAGGTAAGTTAACCAGGCTAGCCACTGCAGGAGAAATAAAGAATAAACCTTAAGCTCCTGACAACTGGGAATTTATAATCTAATAATAAAAAATGAGGCAAATACAAAAATAGCTGTATGAGCCTGCCTTGGTGGGTCACACCTATAGTCCCAGCTACTGCGGAGGCTGAAGTGAGAGGATCGCTTGAGCTCAGGAGTTCAAGGCTGCAGTGAGCTAGAATGGTGCCACTGCACTCCAGCCTGGGTGACAGAATGAGACATCTCAAAAAAATAAAAAATAAATAACTGTAATTAAAAATATATATTATTAAAACACCATGAAGAGGCTTAGAGCAGTACTTTTTAAACTTTAATGTGTACATGAATTACTGTAAATAGACAGTTTTAAAAACATAGATTTTGATATTAAGGGTCTGAGTGGTCTAGGAGCTGAGATTCTGCATTTCTAATACATTTCAGG
Organism: Homo sapiens; assembly: GCF_000001405.40. NCBI lineage: Eukaryota > Metazoa > Chordata > Mammalia > Primates > Hominidae > Homo > Homo sapiens. Next base: position 39,383,992 of record NC_000012.12, read on the forward strand.
TGATGATGCTGATGCTGAATTCTGAGTTTCAAAGCCTTAAGGTAAAATAGATGGAAGACATCAGCCCAAGTAAGAACAGGGAAGAAAAGTATGGTCATGACAAGAAGAGATAACATGGTATTTCAGAGGACTCTTGAATAGGTGGGATTTTTGAGGAAAAGGAAATCAAATGTAAAATAAATCAACCAAAGAAATGTGCTTTGCTTTTTTTTAAACTCATGGAGTTTTTTTACTTAAGGTAAATCTTAATAATGATTATTAAGTCTATTGTTTTAAAAGAGCTGTCTTAACATTATCTGTAAAGACAGAATAGAATTTTATTAATATGCCATTCCTAATAACTTAGGTGGTTTCTAGACTTTGCAAAGTCAAATATCTTCACACAACTACAATTTTTAAATCAGTGGTTCACAGCATGGGCTCAGACAAGAAAGCTCGACAGAAGCTGAAACTTGTAGACCCGATTCTGGATTATATCCCTGATTCTGGATCATGTCTCCCACTCCCCCATTCTTGGACAAGGCTGCTCCAAATGTTGGCAGCCACATCCATGAAGAATGGAGGCAGGATATAGAATATAGGTATATAGGGCTTTTTTTCCCCCTTAAGCAGCAAAGAACTCTTAATCTCTACATTTTTTCTATTGCTGTGAAACAACTTACTATAAACTTGGAACCTTAGATAACACACATTTTACTATCTCACAGTGTCTGTAAGTCAGAAATCCAGGCATGGCACAGCTAGGGCTTTCACTCAAAGTCTTACCAGGCTAAAATCAATGCAAGAGCTGGGTGGCATTCTCAGTTGGAATTCAGGGTCCTCACCCAAGCTCATTCAAGTTGTTGGAAGAATTCAGTTCCTTGCAGTTCTGGACTGAGGACCTTTTTTCTTGCTGGCAAAAGGCTAGCTCTCAGCTCCTAAATGCCACTCTCATGGCCTAGCCATGTGACCTTCTCATAGTGTGTCAGCTTACTACTTGAAAACTACCAGGAGAATCTCTTTCTCCAGTCTGCTAAAATCTGGTCTCATATAATGTAATCATAGGAGTGATATCCCATCACCTTTGCTGTTTTCTATGAATTAGAAGCAATTCACAGGTACTATTTAACTCGAGCAAAGTAAGTAACCAGGAGGCAAGGATCATTGGGTGTCACCTTGGGGTCTGTCTGCCATAGTCAAGACAGTTCTTTCTCAGGAACTATGACATTTGATTGGAGACTGGTAGAATGAAGAATCAGTTATGTGAAGGCAGTGGGCTGAGGAAGCAACCACTGAGAAAGAAGGAAGGGCAGAGAAAATAGGGAAGGAGGTAGCCCTTAAAATGCCTGCCACCAGTACCAATATCAGATATCTTTTAATTCATCACTGGATGCTAATGGATATGAACAAAATACATCACATAAGTTTTATAAGCCCAACTACCCAAATTTCTCGACCATTTCATCCATACCCAAAGAGGTATGCATCAGTGTGAAAGAAAGACATAGAAAAAATACTGTATATCTTCCTGGAGTGTCAAGTTTATATGTGGTAAAATTACTAAGTAATTTAAATATCCTTAGTTTAAAAACAAATATATTTATAGAATGTGTATACAAATGAAGAATACAAAATTTATACTAATTTTTTAGATAAGACTTGAAGACTCAAAGAAATTTCCAGTTTGAGAGTACATTACACATTTCTCTCACTGTAGTTAGGGAAGCTGTGCTAGAAAGGCTTGAGACTATGCTATTTTGAGTCTACTCTGTACTTTATACCTCATTAAGTATTAATGAGGGAAAAACTCACAGGTGAAGACATAAATTTTTAAACACATTGTATCAAATGTAATGCACATAAGCATTTCACTGTAGTCTCTGAAAGGCAAATTGCAGACCAAATTATTACAAAGGCAGTTTAAATACATATATACATATATGTGCAGTCAGATATTGATGCCTAGGTTACTGTACTTTACAATTATCCCACCCAATAATTAATTTTCAGTGTGGTGATAAAGGCTTTCTGTTTATTTGTTCTGGGTTTTGTTTTTGTTCTTGTCCTTTAAGCTCCAATATGTATCCTATGTTTTGTGGCATAAATTGCTAATGGTACTCCAAAATCCATTCTCTCTTTTTTCCTTATTAACAAAATCTTTGCCTGGACACCCTGCACATTCTAAGCTTCCTTGCAGCTAGATGTGGTCATGTGTCCAACTTCCGGTCAATGTCAACAGTAGAGTCCTTAAATGGAAAGGATGGGCCTCCTCTTTTTTTCTTCTTTTTCACTGGCTGGAATGCAGAGCGGTCAGGGTGCACTATTCCAGATCATGTGAATGGGGGTAATACCTGAGGGATGGTGAATCAATAAGATAGAAAGATCCCGGGACACCAACACAATGGTACTTATCAGTTCTGGACTGCTTATAGTCTGGTTGTAATGTGGAAGAAATGTAAACTTCTTTTCTATTAAGCCCTTGTAAAGCTGGGTCTTTGTTAGAATAGCTCAACTCATGTCCTAACAAAATTTGACAGCCAGAAGTAGTTGCCACCTAATAGAACCTGTAATATGTGACACTGACTTGGAAGTTGAACGGCAGGTGCTGACAAAACAAACAGTAAGATGAAAAGCTACTGACTCTTTCTAAGCCACACCAAAACACTTAGTATGGATTGGCTACTTCTTGCTGTTCTCAACAAAGTCCTTCAAGAGAAATAACCTCAGCCTAAATAAAGCAGTCTCAGGCAGACGTCTAAGTGAATTCAGCTCTACTGAGGAAAGTCCACACCACATACAGCTTGAAATCTAAGTTGACTTTACCATGGGGCTTTATAGGGTTTAAAAGCCAGGTTCTTCTATATTCCTTACTAACCCAGTTAAAGCAAGAGGTTCAGAAGACACAACCTAAACTGACATAATCCTGGGACCCTAACAGTTTCTAGCCAGACAATGGGAGCCTGTCCAGAAATCAAAATGGTAAAGGTATTACCTTCTCACCTAAGCATGGAGGTAACTGTCATTGATTAAGACACTGGAGAATTGCAGAACACAAAGTCCAACAATTTAAATCCAGAATTTTTAGCTGGGGAAAAAAAAAAAACTATCTTCAGCCATGGTTACTTGCATTTGGAGTTAATCTGCACAAATAGGCAGAAAACTCAATGAGTTTTTGAAAGCATGCAGTAGTTACACACACACACACACACACACACACACACACACACACACACAAGCTTGGACTGTAAAAGCCTATGACTGTCCAACTCAAAGACAACCTCTCAGGCCCCCTTACATGTATCAGCAGGAAGTCAGCTTTGAAAGCTATCCAACCCCAAGAAAACAGTACACTTTCCAATGTCCACTTTAAATTTGGCCATGGAGAACAACAGACAATAGAGAACCTCCCAAAGGACATAACCAGAACCAGGGAGAACAAGTGATTTTCTCCTCCCCAAAGACAGTGAGGCAAGCTTGCCAGGAGGCTAACAAAGATCTTTTTCTACTGCCAGGATAAAAATCATCATGATTCCCACATACAGGATTTGACAGTTGCTAAGGACAAGTAACTGCTAGGTTTCCTATCTTCCCCTTTCCAAATGGAGTATCTTTATCTTGCTTCTCCTCTGCTGCTGTCTTTTGGATGTGTTACCCCACCCCTACTTATACAATGGATACAGTATCCACTGTATATTGGATCCGTATGTGGGCCATTAGTAGATGGCAAAGAAATTAGCTTTCAGATTGGATGTTCCAACCACAAGAATCCACATCAGAACTTGGGGAGAGAGCTGACTTCCCATCTCCCAAGTACAATAAATTATGAGATGGATGAAACGTGGTGAGGGAGTAGAGATGCTCCATGGATGAAAAAGACAGTGCACATGGCAGTAACTGCTAAATGTCTCCCCAAATGCATATTCTTTTTCCTCCACAGTAATAGGGGTCTTAGCTAGGTATATGGTACCCTCTTTTGCTATAGGTGGTAACGTGTGACATGAGTTCTGACTAAAAGGCTGCAAGAAAAGTGATGTGTGCTACTTCCAGGTCAGTTCTTTCGAAGAAAAGAGCAGGTCCTCTATTGGAATTTGCATGTTTGTCTCCCACAAACTTCTGGTTGAAGTTTGATCCCCAGTGTTGGAGGTGAGGCTTAATAGGAGGTGTTTGGGTCATGGAGGTGGATCCCTCATGAATAGATTAATACCCTCCATGGCGGGGACCGGAGGCAGTGTGAGTGAGTTCTCTATTTGTTTCTGTAAGAACTGATTGTTAAAAAGAGCTTGGAATCTCCTCCCTTCTTGCTTCCTCTCTCACCATGTAATCTCTGCATAATGCTGTTCCCCTTTACCTTCCATCGTAAGTGGAAGCAGTCTGAAGCCCTCACCAGAAGCAATGCTTCTTACAGCGCGCAGAACCATGACCAAATAAATCTCTTTTCTTCATACATTACTCATCTTCAGGTATTTGCTTATAGTAACAAAAATGGACGAAGACATTCTCCCTGTTCCTCTTCCTGCTAGGCTGTACACATGGCAGTCTCCATCCATACACATTATATCAATATCCTAGGGACAGCAAAGCCACAAGATAGAAGGAGCCTTAGTCCCCAGCACTGCAGATTCCCTACTAGCCCTGGACTGCAATAATAATTTCTCTTATTTACACACCTATTGTTTTGGATCTCAGAGCAGCTAAGTCTATAATCTAACTTACACATGCTTATAAAACTATGACAAGAAACTTTTACATTTGTTGTAAAGATATATCTCTAGAATGGCTTTAAAATCCTATTCCAACTAAACTTCTGGTTAATTTAGATTGTGATTCACTACACAAAAATCAGTGTTTTGTAAAACCATTTACTACCAGATACAGTGCTAAATTACTCCTTATTTTAAAACATAGGAAAGCTCTAAACATACTGAAACCTCACTGAAAGAAATGCATTCTCTAATAGAAATTTGTAAACACAGGTAAAAATGCCTTGAATTCTAAAATCTGGGAATTGTCCAATTTTAATGTAACACTTCTTAATATGTAAATTTTGTATTAGTACATATATGTTTTAGAGTTTGTTAGAACTGAAACTTTTCATCAGTTAATTTTCCTCTATTTAAAAAAAAACTTTAAATGTAAATGTCTGTCATACAGTGTAATATTTACCAATACAGGTATTTGGTTACTTAATATTTATTCAGTAAATACACATACACACACACACACACACACACACACACACACATATATACATACATGCTGATGTCTCCTGAAAGCCTAAGAACAAAGAAAAATAGTTAATAATATTGTATATGTCCTTGATGTTTCACAGTTCACATATGCTTTTATGTACCTCTAATATACAAACACTTGCTTTGTCCATTTAAGAGTCTGAAATCAATAAAGGGCAATATGGAATCATCCATGACACAAATTAGCTCAAAGGAACAACATGTGGTATAAACTGAGAAATAATGTGCACCATGGTGAACTTGCCAGATGCCCTAACTGGCAATTAAAATACAGGCTCCCATGCATCTATTTTCAATGGAGTCTGCTTGCCACTGCCACCAGTCCATAATACCCAAAAACCAAATCAAATTTGTGAGCAATTTATACCATAAAAGAACTTTGGAAGATAAGACACATTTACCGTAATCAGATATCTTTTCCATTAAGCTCCAAGCCATGCCAAGATTTTGGGACCAACTGAGAGAATGACCACCTTCTTCTAGGAGCAGTACAATATATCCTTATCCATTACTCTTTTGGAGTGCAGGGCATTTTTTTTCTGAGGTATCTATTGTTATGAAGATGGATATCTTTTAAAATGTTAATTCACAGTAGTTTCAATAATTTAATTCAGGTTCCATTAATGACTACATATTTTGAAGATTTTTATATAGTGTCAACCCAACAGCCTATCCCTCTGCTCCAGATCTGCTGGGATGTCAAGCAATGTGGGATGTGAGATGTTCACATCTTCCTCTTCTTCCCACACTACCCCACACACTATACACTTTCCCTTCATTCTGTACATTTGTCTGTCTCCCACACACACTTTCAACCAAATTGTGTTTTAGGGACACTACTTGCATCTCAGATTCATCGTTGTATCTCTTCTCCCATACACCTAACCTCCTATATATAGCACTATGCTTCCCATCTGGCAGGTTCTTAGGAAAATGAGAGAAGTAAGACTATGGAAACTATTCAAAATGGCAACAACAACAACAAAAAAACACCTAGGTTTTTTCTCACTTGTGCAATCCACACACTGTAAAACCTTTACAAAGTATGAGTATTCAGATCATTCCCATTATATTTTCATAGAAGTGAATGATTTAAATAAGAATTTTTAATGGAAGGAGAAAATTCTGGTTTAAAAAGACAATAGCACTCAATTTATGCTAATAAGAGGTGAATGATTCAAGTTTACGAGGAAAAGTAGAGACAAACAGGATTACTGGATGTTAGATTTTATTTCCTTGAAGGTAGTCTTTATTTAGGAGACTAAAGTTTATTAAAAAAAAGAAAAAAATTAAAAACAATGAAAACCTAAGATCTAAACCTTGCTCCACCACAACATTGTGGGATAAACTTCATTTATGTTATACCAAACTATATTAAAAAGAGTATTCTATATAAAGTCATATATACACTGTAATGTATAACCTACAAAAGATATTCAACAAAAACTACTTGACTGATTGCTTTAAAGAAGGAAAAAAATATATATATATTTGTCAGAATTGAAAGAGATGATTAATAGCACTATTGGAAAAAAACAACAATATATGTCATTCAACAAGTGCCTACCATATATGCCAGTCATTTTATATGCATTATTTTTATTCAGTACAATAATCCTAAGAAGTAGGTATTAATTTTACAAGTTGACATGTGACAAAAGTAAAACATAGACAGTTAAGTGCCAGAGAGAGCCAGAATTCAAGCCAATGCATGTCTTATTCCAAACCCTGTGAGTATTCTCTAGGTCACACTTCCTGCCTAGCCACAGCCCTCACAATAGTGGTAACAGTATGATTATTATACTTGAGTAATTATGATTAAAATAATTGAGTGTAATTATTATACTGAAGTCAGGATAGAAGGAGCCATAGCTAGAGTCTCAGTGTAACACATACTGATTCCATCACTGAAACACAACATAAATCTGGAAAGACGAGTATCCTGTGCTGTGCAAATCTATTTGGTTCCTGAGCTTAGATAGAGTTTCAATAACAAGCTCTAATAGCAAGAAATTCCAAATCCATTTGGTTCTTAAGTTTTAGGTAGCAAATAGCAAGTTTGGATACTGAAGGATTCAATAAAAAAAATTTTTTTTTTCACTTCCTGAGTTCAGATAGCTACAGTTCAGTTGACAAGCGATACTATCTATCTAAATGGGTTTTATAGTGTGCTCCCTATGCATCCTGAACTAAATTTAGTGGTGTATACAGAGGAGGTTTAAGACATTTGGTTCACAGCTGGGCATGGTGGCTCACGTCTGTAATCCCAGAACTTTGGGAGGCCAAGATGGAAGAATCGCCTCAGCCCAGGAGTTTGAGACCAACCTGGGCAACATAGGAAGACCCTGTCTCAAATATAAAAAATAAAAATATAAAAAAGAATTTGGTTCCAAAGAGTTATAATCTACTTGGAGAAACAACTCTATCATACCTATGTATATGTAATCACATATATTAAATCTACAATAGTGTATGAAGTAAAAGCTAAATCAAATGCTAAAGACTGCAATTTTCGTTGTTGTTGTTGTTGTTGTTGTTGAGATGGAGTCTTGCTCTGTCACCCAGGCTGGAGTGCAGTGGCATAATCTCGGCTCACTGCAACCTCTGCCTCCCGGGTTCAAGCAATTTTCTGCCCCAGCCTCCTGAGTAGCTGGGATTACAGGCACCTGCCATTACACCCGGCTAATTTTTTGTATTTTTAGTAGAGACGGGGTTTCACCATCTCGGCCAAGCTGGTCTTGAACTCCTGACCTCATGATCCACCCACCTCAGCCTCCCAAAGTGCTGGGATTACAGGAATGAGCCACCGCACCCAGCCTTAAACTGCAATTTTTTAAAAGAAGCGATTGATAAAGATGGAAATAATCACAAAAGCACAAGTCAGGGGATAAGACACAGTAAATGTGGAAGGAAAAATCAGCAGGACCTGGGGATTAAAAGGATATTTCCAGCGAAGAGAGAGCAACATTAGTTAGAGCTAATTAACAGAGCTTAGAAAAAGTGCTGCCTGGCTTTTCATGAAAGAGTGACAAGAAGAGTGTGACATGAAGAATGAAAGAAAGAGTGACAAGAAGATTGTGACATAAATATATGTCTGGCTCTTCACACTGCCTGCAGCCACAGCATGCCTCAACCATCATTCTCCCAACCCCTGTTTGTATAACCACCAGCCAGTCCTACCAGGCTGCAGTGATGTGTGTGGTGCTTTTTGCTGCACATAAGGGAGATTACTCTGTTTGCTCAGCATTTCCTTGAAGGAGCTTTCACAAGAACATTTTCTTTTATAATCCAGTGGTCATTCCTTTGTTTCTTTGTGGCATACCCAGCTCTTGCACACCCTTTGTCAACCACTTATGTTTGCCAGAAAGTGAAATAAATGGCAGTAAAATAAATGCAAAGGCCAAAGTGAAGTGCATGCAAGTTAGAAAAACTTCTTCAGTTCAGGACAAGGAGGTAGTTGGTGCTCTTGTTGGTTGAGAGCATTTGCAGCACTGTGCACTCATATGTTCAAGTGCTGAGAGAATTCAGCACCATGTGTTACACTGGCTGTCACTGGTAAGACAATAAAATAAAATTCAGATTGTGGGAAAATATGTACTATTAATGAGCCATACTAGATGTTTACATAAAAAAGATCAACATTTTAAAAGAAATTTTAAAAGAAAAAGACAATAAAATAAAAAGATAATAAAATAAAATAAAAAGGTAATAAAATAAAATAAAGACAATAAAATAAAATTCAGATTGTGGGAAAATATATACTATAAATGAGCCATACTAGATGTTTACATAAAACAAGGATCCACATTTTAAAAGAAAATGTTTCTGAAATAAATAGCATTCTAAGGAAATTGCTGTGTAGGGAACCCAGTTTTTGGTCTTCTGAAGATCCTTCAGCCCTACCTGCATCACCTCCTAACCTTGTCAGCTGTCTCAGCCTCGCCTGGAGGGAGGGCTGAGCTCCTGGCACTGTGCAAGACCTGCAGCAGTATGGCACCAGACTTGGTCTGACTAGACTCACAAAAGCCCTTGCACTTCCCACCATTTCTAGACACAAATGAAGGCTGCTCCATGGGGTTGCAGGATCTGGCTTCCCAGTAGCTTCTGGAATGAGTAGCAGAACCCAGCAGGGCAGGAGGCAAATGCTAACCAATAGAAGGCAAGAGATAAGAAAAAGGCACAGATAAATTATTTCCCTTTCCTCCCTCCAATGGACTAATCCCAAATGAGTGTTTCCATATGGGTTGTCCAGAGACACCCCTGGTGACTTGGCTGTGTTCGCAACTCCATTATGTGTCACCTTGTATTTGCCATTCCGTCTTCTCTGCCTTGCTTCATTTTTCCCTCACTTCTGTTACACTGTTATTTCCCCACTTGGTAGAGCACAAGCTTCTAGGCACAGTTGTCTAGGAAACCCAGCCTAAGATAGTCAGTATTAAACTAACTGAGGCAATTTTTTAATGCTTTCCCAAAAGTATTAAGAGAAAAAGAATAAATTTTTAACTATTTCTGTGCTTGCAGTGGAGTGAGGAGAAAGGGAACTAATACAGGTTGGACATTTACAATGTGCCTGGCACTGAGGTTAATAACATGACATGAAATAACATGAAAATCACAACTGGGTTTTCATGTAATTTCATGTAATGTCATTTAACCCTCACAATAAACCATCCAATTTTATTGATGAAGAACAAGGAAATATAAATAGAAGTAGGCGGGCTTTTAACTTGGAACGCTGAGCTCAGCATAGCAATACAAGCATTGCAGCTTGGATTCAGTGTTGTAGTCAGCCAGACCAGGTCAGGCATATTCCGGAACTCAAGTATCTATACTACTAAACCAATCTGCAGGAAATCCATTAGTCCTCCTCATTTTGAATGCTTGGTTTCATCTCTTTTTCATTCCTCCATTCAGATGCTAATCAAAGCTCTGCAGCAGCCAGGCAGCGCTTTTTCTAAGCCAATTCTTCTGAAAGTCTTGCAGAGCATGCAATACATAGGTCATCTTCACATCAAATGCTGCAGTCTTTGTCTATTTACCGTTTTGAAGCAGAAAACCTGTTGAATTTCACCTAATTTAAACTTCATTTTCATTAACCAAATCTTTAAAGAAACTGCATGTGGCTCTATCCAAGCAATCCCTCTTACTGCTTTTGGCAAACGTCTTTATAAATAATTAGACATAAATAAAACATTGGCTTGCATTTTTGTTAATTTTGCTGTAGATTTACAGAATAATCACAAACACTGACATAGCACATGCTATGTACCAGGCACTGATTTACATAGTTTACATTAGTTCCAATCTTAAGACTGGAACTAATTAGTTACAATCTCAAGACTTGAAAAGATCTTAAAGATCTTGGAATACAACCCCAGTGACTGCTTAAATCCCCTCCATGATAATGTCACAAGAATATATTTCACTGAGTAGAAGAGCTCCCGCACTGGAGTCAGAAAACCCAGATCTACCACTTTTTGTCAGGTGATTATGTAATATTGGCATGGCAATTTCAGGTGTCATTGCCTTTGATTCTCACAGCGACCTAATATATAGTTACAGCTCTGAAATCTTCATCTCCATCCCAATCTCTTTTCTAAAGAAGGGATGGGGGGCGGGGGAGTTCCTGAAACCCCCATATATATCGAAGGACAACTAAACTTTCTTCACACATCTCTGCTCTTCCCACACCAATCCCTAGCTCCGTTAACGAGAAATGCTAGTCTTCCTAGCCTTCTTCTCTCTTACCTATCTCACACCTAATCCATTATGAAGATCTCATTGTGTCTGTGTAAAATCTCTCAAACCATCTTCCCCATCCCAACTATTAGCTCAGTTCAAAGCCATGTCTCACCTAGACAATAGCAATAATCTTCTCATTGTTCTCACTACCTCCGCTCAGCCCATTTCCCCGTCCACTACCATACATATATTTTAAACTGCTTTCCATAAACCTGCTAGAACAACCTTTTAAAAACATCAAATTTAGTAAAAATTCTAATTTTCCTATTTAAATCTCTTAGTAGCTCCCCATTACCTTTAAAGCTAGGCTGACTCATTTCTGCCTTCAAATACTTCAAGCTCTTTCTCTTTCCATTGCTCTAGAATTGTTCTATCCTCTGCCTGAAATGCCCATCCCCACCCCGCTCATCCCACCCACCCGCTTCTTCACCGCATTACTTCCGTTAGGCCAATCCTCATCTCCTAAGGTTAAAGCTTCTTCCGCCATGTTTCCATACCGCCATATTTCCATAGCATTTTCATTTATCTGTCTAGCTGTGTATTTTCTGTGTTCTACGACCATAACCTATGTCCTCAGTTATAAAAATCACCCACTTTCAGCCGGGCGCAGTGGCTGACGCCTGTAATCCCAGCACTTTGGGAGGCTGAGGCGGGCGGGTCTCCTGAGGTCAGGAGTTGGAGACTAGCCTGGCCAACATGGGGAAACCCGATCTCTACTAAAAATATAAAAACTAGACAGGCGTGGTTGCGGGCGCCTGTAGTCCCAGCTACTTGGGAGGCTGAGGCAGGATAATTGCTTGAAACCGGGAGGTGGAGGTTGCAGTGATCCAAGATGGCACCACTGCACTCCAGCCTGGGTGACGAGAGCGAGACTCCGTCTCAAAAAAAAAAAAAAAAAGAAGAAGAAAAATCACCCACTTTCTTTTTCTTCCTTCCCCCCGCCTCTCCTCTTCATTCCTTCCCTCTCTAAACACCCCACTCCAGCAATACATGCTTATCTAATTATGCTCTTAAAAAATTCCAGAGGCTAATCTTGAAACAAACCAGGCACAGGGCCCCTGTGGAATCCTCCCGCTTAGGGGGAGGCACGAACAATTAGTCCACCATCATCGGGACAAAGTCAACATAAGGCCAACCTGACCTCCGGACCAGTGATTACCTAAGATAGCCATCAGAACAAGGCACAGAGACCCCCGACCCTGTACCACACCCACATATATCCCATACCAAGTTGCCCTTTAAAAATCCTATGGTAAATTTTAAAATGTAAGAATGTACTTTAAAATGCTTTTTGGTTTGCTGGCTCTCTGATTAAAACCTGCTTTCCTTCCCAACCCTCACCTCTTGTGTTTGGTTTTTAAGCAGTGAGCAGTCAAATCTGGATTCAGTTACACCATGAGATCCCTAAGGTCCCCAAGGGTTTTCATCTTTTATCTTCAGTACAAAGCAACAGCCAAAACTTAATAAATGTGGAAGTAAATGAATGAACAATTCAACAATTGATCTTACTAAACAAAACGTTATATTTTTACGTCCCTAAGCAGGAAGCATAATGTTTTCCTCAGATAATGAATTAAAATGGTTAAGAAATAGAGTAATTATATGGGTACACACGTATATATACTTGCGCACTAAATTATTATATAATAGAAATTGAGGGGGCCTGAAAGAATACTTACGATAACTCCCTCATTTTATAGAGAAGAAAAGTCAAGCCAGGAGAGACGAAGTAATTTGCCCAAGTTCCCAAACTGGGGAAGACATATGTAATGTCTTTGGGTAGACATAGAAATATGTAAATATTTGCAGCATTATTCAAAAATAACCAAAAACTAGGCACAATGCAAATATTTATCAATTGGTGAATGAATGAAGTGCGGTATAACCATACAATCCAACACTGCTCTGCAATAAAAAGGAATAAACTACTGACACATGCCACAACGTGAATAAACCCCAAAAACATAATGCTAAGTGAAATACACCAAACTCAAAAGACTAAATAAATAGTGTATGATTTTATTTATTTAAAAAATTTCTAGAAAAGGCAAAATTACATAGAAAACAGGATCTGTAGTTGCCTGAGACCGACTATTTATTAGTAAATACAACAGAACTTCTTGACAAGTGTTTTAAAACTGGATTGTGATGATGGTCACACAACTGCATCAATGTACTAAATTACTGAACTATATACTTGCATTGGGTGAATTTTATGGTCTATAAATTATACCCCAATAAAACTGCTAAAATACTTGTTTTGGTTCTTTATAATGCATAGCATAATGTTTGTGTTCAATACTTTTTTTATTTGAAGAACCACAATTGATGGGAAATAATACTAAATTATTTTAAATTATAATGTCTACAGCAGTGTTTTTCAAAATATAGTGAAACACATATCAGGATAATATTGAGAGCTAGGTAAAACTACACACTCACTTCCACCTTCATTCTTAGCCCCCATCCAAACCACCCCCCATAGAGCTGATTCACCTTAACCAACTCTATTTTTTTCCACAGTACTTACCACCCTCTAATATATTATGTAATTAACTTATTTAATATGTGATTGCTCTTTTCTCTGCAGCGACTCCCAAGGCTCCAAGACAGTAGTACTGACATATTCCTATGACCCAGAACAGTTCCTGGTACATACTGTAGGTACTCAAGCATTTGCTGAATGAGTGAAATTCAGGTTCCTGAGCCTCACCGAAGGAAGCCAAACAAACTGTTGTAGTAGTAGGGCCCTGGGATCTATATCTTCACCAATTCCCCCAAATAATAACACGAACGTTTGGATCCACTGGCCTACAAAGAGTCTAGCTCTTCACACATGGCCATAGCAACTCAAGTGGTGGCAAAAATAATCTAATGACAGGCACTATCCAGAAACATGTAAATAGCTGAATGCAGAGCTTACAGACTTAACACAATGGTAGAATGTGTTCCTCAGATTTTGAGTATGACTTACAAAGTTTTGCCTCAACCACAGCCAGCCACACAAATCTGACACAATATTCTTAGCCAGACTTTTAAATTGTATGCCCAGGGGCTCTTCTATAACCACAAGTAAAATTGACATCCAAAAACGATTGTTCTAACTGTAATTCTGTCTTCAAACTCAAAGTAATTGACACATTCTTATTATCTATGGTACAACAATGTTGTATACACTATGCTAAATATGTACTTGAGTGTTCTAGGAAATTTACACTCTACATTTTAAAAACCATCATAGGGAGAAAGGCCATTGAATCTTGGTTTCAAGTGGCCATCTTTCGTACTGAATGATACTTCATGAAGAAGTTCTTTTACATGAACTCATGCACAAAGATATAAACACACAAAAAATAGGCCGGACATGGTGGTTCATGCCTGTAACCCCAGCACTTTGGGAGGCTGAGGCAAGAGGATCACTTGAGCTCAGGAGTTTGAGACCAGCCTGGGCAACACGGCAAGATCTCTTCTCTACTAAAAATTTTAAAAATTAAACAGGCATAGTGGCATGCGCCTGTAGTCCCAGCTACTCAGGAGGGTGAGGCAGGAGAATTGTTTTAGGCTAGGAGATCAAAAAGGAGATCAATAGAAGGTAGTTGAAGAGCCCAAGTGAGAGGATTACAGAAGTATCCTTGGAGTAAGAGGGTTACAGAAAGAGAGGGAACCACAACTTCAAAGGCCCTATAATGTGAATTTGGTTTTGAAAATATGTAATTCTGCTATAGAAGATGAATAAGTATATAGTTTACAAGACCTAGGTAACACTTTACCATAGAAAAGTAATCAGTAAATAAGTAGCTTGTGAGACAGGCAGAATTCATAAGATGCATTGAGTATAAAGGGAAATTCAGTCAGCCCTCTATATCCCCAGGTTCCACATCTGTGGATTCAACCAACCAAGGATCAAAAATACTCAAAAAAATTAAAAATAACACAATAAAAAAACAATAAAAATACAAATTTTAAAAATACAGTATAATGTCTGAGAGCGGTGACTCATGCCTGTACTCCCCACACTTTGGGAGGCTGAGGCAGGAGAATCACTTGAGCACAAGAGTTCAAGACCAGCCTAGGCAACACAGAGAAACCCCATCTCTACAAAAAAATACAAAGTGGACATGGTGGCATGCACCTGTAGTCCCAGCTACTCTGGAGGCTGAGGCTGCAGCATCACTTGAATCAAGGATGTCGAGGCTACAGTGAGCCAAGATCACAGCAAGATTCCATCAAAAGAAAATATAGTATAACAATTATTTACATAGCATTTATATTGTATTTTGTATTATAAGTAACCTAGAGATGATTTAAAGTATATGTGAGGATGTGTGAGTATATATGCAAATATTATGCCATTTTATGTAAGGGACTTGAGCATCCACAGATTTTGGTACCCACAGGGGACAATGAGGTATGGCTGGAACCAATTCCTCAGGGATACCTTGGGACATTTGTAGTTAATAAGTCTAGTATCTATCCCTAAATAGAGACAGAATGGAAGGAACAAGAGAAATCTACATTGATGAGGCACTAAATATGCAAAAAGCACCTAATATTCATGAAGTTGTAAATATAATGAGGTATCTGATGCATTTAACATTCATAATACATTATATAAACATGAGACATATGAGACACTCTGTATGCACGAGGTCTTAATTTGGTTATCCCACATCTTCTCTCCCCCAAGTAACAAATAAAACCCAAAGCTGCTCAGCAGGCTAATTGGCAAGCTACAGCTGAGGCCAGGCATACTTGCCCCTGTGTCTCTCTGATAGGCCCCTAGGCATCTTCCATGTGATTGGGCCTCTCACTCACCTCAATTCGGATCCTCTCTGCTGATAATTGGCCCTGCTGAAAAGATGGATTTCACACTTCTGACAACCAGTAGCAGAAAGCATTTATTTACTAGAAGTTGAAGGAATTAAAATATATTTTTATGTGACTCCACCCCAATTAATTTATTTTACATCTTACTGAAATTAAAGGGAAAGAAGGGGGATAAATTGCCACCATTTATCATTTATATATTTATTCTATTTACCACATGTACCTCATGTGCATAACATCGACACAAAGCTCTTTGCTAATAAGTGAAAACACTAATACAGAAACAAAGCCAAGAGAATGCTACACAAAAAATTCTTCCTGGTTTAGTGAAAATCCCTAGTCCTAAGGCTTTAAAGCTATTTTCCACGGTTTACAATTTTCTTTACTTATGGTTGAAAGTTATTAATGCTCAGCCTCTACTTTAGGTGATGAGAAGGAGAGCTGAGAGTCCAAGATCTTTTAAATACCAGAAGGGGAGAGTCTCTTTTTTTCCTTCAACTTCTATTTTACATTCCGGGGTACATGTGCAGGATGTGCTGGATTATTACAAGGTAAACATGTGCCATGGTGGTTTGCTGCACAGATCAACCCATCACCTAGGTATTAAGCCCAGCATCCATTAGCTATTCTTCCTAATGCTCTACCTCCCCTCACCCCAACCCCCAACAGGCCCCAGTGTGTGTTGTTCCCCTCCATGTATCCATTTGTTCTCGTCATTCAACTCTCACTTATGAGTGAGAACATAAGGTGTTTGGTTTTCTGTTCCTGCATTACTTTGCTGAGGATAACGGCTTCCAGCTTAATGACAGACTGGATAAAGAAAATGTGGTACACATACACCATAGAATACTATGCAGCCATAAAAAGAAAGGGAAGGGTCTTTAACTGCTGCTACTTGCTTGCTAATTCCAGTAATGTGCTGATAGAGTCAAGAACTATCACTAGGTCCAGAAATAGAGAAAGGCTGATTTAGGCTGAAGTTCTAGAACGTGACTATCTTATTTCTAACCAAAACAAAAAAGAGACATGTACTGCCAAGATGTGTAGTTCTGATAATGCATCAGAAATCAGGACAAAAAAAACCTAAAGCAGAAAATGACCAATTATACCAAAGGAGAAAACCATCTTCTGCTCAGGTTTCACAAAGGTTCCTAGAGACAAGTGATTTTTATATAATTATACTCATGGAAGCCAAACCAGAAGATTAATTTAATCCAAGAGAATAAATATTGATTGAGCATCCACTCATTGAAAAACCCCACGCTTGACACTTGTAAGACACAAATGTAAATAAGCTAAGAGTTTACCCTCACAGAGTCTGCATTTCAGAGAATACAGACATGTTCCTTTAAAAATGCAAGATAAAATAAGTACCACAAAAGAGAATCATAAGTGCTCTAGGAACCAAAAGGAAATGAGGTAAAGGCCAGACAGTATATAGTAAGCAAGGAAAAATAGACATTCATAAGGAATAGTAACAGTAGAAAACTTCAGTTTTCAAACGAGCTAAAAGATTAGAGAAGGATACAGGAAAAAGAACTTGTTTCCGGGTCAAAAGCAACAAAAATAATGACTGGGAAAATGGAGAAGTAAGGAAACAAAATTCTCAAGGTAAATTCTTTACCCAATTGTCTTGTCTTTTAAAAAGACAATATTTGGGGAAAAAACAAAAAACATTTCTAGGCTGAAAAATGCTTCAGATGAAATTTTAGTATGCCAAAGATTAAAGGGTGTTCACAATAAAATGTTATCAACAACAGTAAAGGCCAAGTTCCCATGATTCTACAGATACTTACTGAGGCAAAATCACAGTGTGGCCAGAAAGAACTTGAGAGTGCATGGGAGGAACGCTTGGCTAAGTACCAAAAACTGAATCAAAACCAGTGCCCAGAACATCTATCGAAGGCATGTCTTCATGAGAAGTGTTTAATGTTGTCACCACTTAAATTCTTCTCCAATCTTTTCAAGAAAAAGTATTTTGCTAGACATTTGCCTTTTAGAAATGGGATTTCAGGATTAGTAATGAATGCACTTAACAACTATATGTAATATTTTTTAAAAAAGGAGAACTGTAGAAATACATGAAAACCACAGCTTCTCCAAAACTTCATTTGAACCATTGATTCAATATAATTCCTTACCAAACTAGTTACAAGTTGCAAATATGCAGAGAAATAGACTAAATTAGACTGCATTCATGCATTCTTCCTACTCCTACCAGACAGGAAAATTAAATATATTGATAAAACAAAAACAAAATCAAACAAAACTGTGGCCTATCAAAACTGTATATTTGGACATTCTGGGTAATTGGCAAAGGGATAATCTGGCTCTAAGATAAAAAGGGTGACCGTGCCTCTTAGGAAATTTTATACAATTAGGAAGAGACACCAAAAAATTTATTTTATATTACATAAAAGGATATCTTCTAAACAGATAACAGAATAGTGAAAATCTTTCTGAGCCACCACCACCACAACTTGGGTAGAACAGGAGTTGGATCAATGTATTTCTAGAAAGAAAGGCAAGGAGAAAGCCATAATGGTAGTTTAAAAGTTTGTTAGGTTTAGAAACATTTTTTAAGATGTCCTCTAAAGGGTTCTAAAGTATTTCTACAATAAATAGTACACTAGCCTTGGTGGCTTATGCCTATAATTCCAACTACTCAGGAGGCCGAGGAGGGAGGATTGCTTGAGGACAGGAGTATGAGACCAGCCTAGGCAGGTAACATAGCAAGACACCTGTATTATACATACCTATACAAATAAATAAATAATTTTTAAATAATAAAATAAGAGGAGCCCCTTTCTCCTCTACTTAGAATTTAATTTTACCCAGTAACATACATTATATCAAACTTGTCCAACCTGCAGCCTGTAGGCTGCATGCGGCCCAGGATGACTTTGCATGTGGCCCAACACAAATTCATAAACTTTCTTAAAACATTATTAGTTTTTTTGGCAATTTTGGTTTTAGCTCATCAACTATCATTAGTGTTAGCGTATTTTATGTGTGGCCCAAGACAATTCTTCTTCTTCCAATGTGACCCAGGGAAGCCAAAAGACTGGACACCCTTGCATTATATTTAGTTAAAAAAAAATTACCTGTATATAACTAAAAACTGTAAAATATGTCATAACACATTGCAAGAGAAGAAACTACTACCATCATATGATTGTTGTGCTGGTTCATGAAGCAGTGTTTGGCATCTGCTTGTGAGAACTGGCACTACATGTACTCATAATTCAAGAATGTGTGTCATCCCCACTTAAAAGTCAAGAGCTCAGTAATGAACCTTTCCCACTTTGAGACAAAAATACACATCAAAAACCTTCAAACACCCCTTGACAAAAAAAAACCTAACAGTCATTCATTTACCCATTTGTTCATTCATCAAACCCTTGAACACCTGGGGGCTCTATGCAAAACACTAGGCTAGGCAATGAGAATACCAAGATATGCAATACACAGTACATGCCCTTATGGAACTCACAGTCTACAGTTTGTAAGACAAAGCATGTTTACTGTCTAAAAATGCCAAAATCTAATCAGCATACTAAGTTTTTAATTAGAAAAAGTTTAATCATTTCTGATGATACATTTGTATATACATGTGAGTGTGATACATATACACCTACATATTTAAAAATGTACACACACTTTTTCAGTGCTTCAATTTTAGATAACTTAATATGGTTTGATATGGAAAGAGCATGAGTCTAGGAGTCAAGACTTATGTTCTAGTGAATCTCAGCTGTTTATTAGCTACATGACCTAGGGCAGGTTACTTAACTTTCATTAGCCTGTTTCCCAGTACATGAAATGAAAGTAATAATACCTGTTTTACCTACCTTACAGGCTTTTTATGAAGATAAAATGGCAATAGATGTAATAGTGACTATTAAACTGTAGAACTCTACACAAACATGTTATTATAATCTAAAACATGAGAACTCATTATTTTAACTTTCAAAGCTATTAAAATATCTAGAATACTTTCATGTAAGTTTTTAAGTGAAACAATCTCAGCTTAGTAGCAAAGTCTTACTTCTTTAAGACTGTTGAAGACTTAATGAAAATTAAGTTAATGTTGAAATTAATGTTGAGTTAATATGAATGAGAACTGAATTAAATGTTAAAGAACTGCTACCTGTCAAAAGTTTCTCAAAGGACCAAATGCATCTTAATCACCTGGGAGCTTGTTAATCACATAGACTGGTAATTCTGAATTTCTAGTGGGTTTAGAAATCCACATATTTATCAAGCACCCAGGAGATTCTTTTTTATTTTTATTCATTCATTTTATAGACAGGGTCTCACTATGTTGCCCAGGCTAGAGTGCAGTGGCTATCCACAGACACAATCATGCTACTCTACTACCTCCAAGTGCACTGCTGCCTCCCAGACTCAAGCAATGGTCCTGACTCAGCCTCCCAAGTAGCTGAGGTAAGAGGCATGCGTTGCCATGCCTAGGTCCAGGAGATTCTTAGACACACTAAAATGTAGGAGCCACTGACATATGGTGAAAGACTACCTTTTCCAACTGACCTTATTAACAAATAAGATGAGAAAATAATGGTAACTTGATTAGAAATAAAAATAATGTGGAATAATTACTGCATTTTCCAGCTCCTCTCAAAATATTTTTTAATAAGAAAGGGTAACATATTTGGGGTATTCATTTCACTACTGTAAGTAGTGCTTAAGATAATCTGAGTTGTTACTCTTTTTCATAACTAAAAAACACAGCCACAAGCAGTTGAGAAATATACAGTAAGAATTTGGGGACATTAAATATAAAAATCCTCTTTTCCCTTGAGATAATGCTATTTAGCATAAATGCCATCTACTTGCAATGTAATACTACCATCCTGTTTCATTATATAGGTAGCAATGTAAAAACACATAATCATAATCAATGCAAATATGCTTTCTACAACTTAATAGTAAATGAGACTTCTAACATGTTCCAAAACAGAATTTTATATAAATACTATATCAAGAAAATAATGGAATTTTAAGAGTTCTTTGTCTTGGCAAATTAAATATAAAATTAGTGATACCTTCATACTATTTCAGCAGTATCAATAATATTCCAAATAGTATATATTCCTTGCTGAACTAATACAAATTTCAAATGCGCAATGTTAAACAAATTCTGTCTATGGAAAGTAAATTTTCCTAAGGCTTTTTTTTTCAAACTAAAAAAATATATAGTAGAATAGCCATTAAAGTGTATAATGGAGAATTTAAAGCTATTCATGTGGTAAAAATATACTTGAAGGCCAGGCACTGGCTCATGCATATAATCCTAGCACTTTGGGAGGCTAAGGCAGATGGATCACCTGAGGTCAGGAGTTCAAGAGCAGCCTGGCCAACATGGTGAAACCCAGTCTCTACTAAAAATACAAAAATTAGCTGGGCATGGTGGCAGGCGCCTGTAATCCCAGCTACTTGGGAGGCTGAGGCAGGAGAATCTCTTGGACCCGGGAGGCAGAGGTAGCAGTGAGCCAAGACTGTGCCATTACACTCCAGCCTGGACGACAAGAGCAAAACTCCATCAAAAAAACAAAAGAGAGAATTTATTTTTTAAATTTAATATTAAATGCTATTTTTAAAGTAAGAGATTAACTAGAAAAATAAATGCAATTTATTTTTCAAAAATGTATCTTTGCCAAAATAATTGCAACATTAAAAAAAGTATTTGTAAGAAAAATTTTGTTTATGTAAAATTGTTGCCATCTTACAGTAAAACTACAGTGCAGGAAATATTTAACTAGTAAAAGTCAAATAAAGCACTGTTAAAAAGCTTCATATAGTTCTTTAAATATCCCTTACATTAACATTTAAGAAACAAAAACCTACACACACTTTTCCTTGCAGCTGCTTTTAAAAAGCGTATATAAAGTTCCAAAACAAACCACTAAAAAAAGCCCTACATTATTGTTGCAAGTTTCTTACCAACAGACATTTCTCTGTTTGAAACAGAAGACTGCCTGTTCACTGAAATGACTAAAAACACGAAGTTGATCATTCTTAACTAGGCCGTAAGAAAAAAAAATATGCAATAAGAAAAATAATAAAGTCACTCAGTAGTGGACAAAATAGTAACAAGACAGTTACAAACCCATCATTATATGTGTGACTAACATTTTATTTTGTGTAGAAGAAAATTTCCCCTTTAGCTTATATGTAAAGCGTGTCTTTGCAGATTTCCTTTCTTCCCACCCTTCATGTTCAAGTCAAAGAAAGCTTAGAACATTCAAAACACATCTGTAAATTTCAACTAAAATTTGAAGTAACAGAACAGAGCCTGAAAACAAACAAACAAAAAAAATTATTCTATTCTCTAACAGCACCCCACTTCCTCCAAAAAAAAAAGCCAAACAAACACAAAATAATACTTTCAAGTTTTAACAAATTTTCAAGCAACATATTTGATACATTATGTAAAAGTGAAAACATCTCAAGGTCATTACAGTGTGATTATACCTCCTTTGTGGGTAACTATAACATTGTATTATCTTCAGACAGAAAGGGATGCATCAATGTCTCTATCTGCCCAATGCCAAAAGAAGTAGAATCAACAGACAGGAAATTCAAAGGCTCCAAATAAAAGAAAGCACAGTACTGGAACCAGGGAGTTGGCAAATGATTCTCTATTCTTTTGGCATCTGCACATACTTTAATGTCCAATCAATGCTTACCTCCCACTAAAGCCATCCATGTCACCCAAAATGTTCACTCCCTCCTGTGAAGGAACAAAGCCTGTGTTCTAGGTCATTTGGCATTTATCATTTGCTTACTTATGTATCCTTTTCCCTGTGTATCATCTAACTTGGCAGGTATACTTTAAGCTTTTCAAGGGAAGGACTGTTTTCTTCCTTTCTTGGCTTCACCATGTTAATTCATCTTTTGTTCTTTCTCAAAGATGTCAAGCTTCCTGCCTCCCTTTTCTCTCCTACTGCCACAATCTCCACTTTACGTGTATGACCACAAACTTAAATGGGCCCTCAGCACTATCAAAAGACTCATTCGTAATCTCAAATCAACCCACTCTCCAAAATAACTAATTCACTGCTTCTTCTATAATACCTCCAAACTCATGCTCAGCTCATTCCCTTGTTTCTTACTTCAGTGAGCAAATACAAGCTATCAGAATAAAACTTCATCTTCCCACTCCAAAATCTACCCATATACTTTGCTTTCAATATTGTTAAAATGAATGCACACTCCCTGCTCCTGTTAAAGGTCACTCTCTCCACTTGTGGACTGCATTCCATGATTTCCCACTTATTTGAAATTTTGCTCCTAGAATTATTCCTTCCAGCTCCTGCATTGTCGATTCTTCCCTTCCCAGTAGATCATTCTCAGCACACAAACATTTTAGAATTGCATTCCTCTCTTTATGCTAGAGATTTCTCATTTTTACAGTGGGGGTCAAAACAGTACTACTACATAAAATTACCGTGAAGTTTATTGTAATTACAATCATTACAATGTTTCAAACTTATCCTTGAACTTCATGTCCCTCTCTGGCTACCAGATTTCTCTAATATCCTTTTTGACAATCTCAAAACAATGGCTTATTCTTGCTGTTTTGAATTCCTCATTCTCTCCTGTACCTCCTTTACTCAGGCCTTTGTCTCTACTCATCCCTGAAAACCCACTGTCAAAGACATTAACAACTTATCATATAACCAAATCCAATAGTCTATTCTCAATCTTCAATGAGTAATATATCAAACCCTTACTATGCTGCCAGAAATATTCATTTATTCCCTCCAGTAACTCTGTGAGATAAATACTATAATTATCTCATTTTACAGAAGATAAAACCAAGGCTTCTAGAGGTTAGGTAACTTGCTCAAGATCATACAGCTTGCTCAATCTCTTAGAAAGTCCTAGAGAAAATCCCATTATCATTTTAACAAATATTCCCCTACTCAATTTCTTCACAAGCAACAAGGTGCTATCCTCATGTTCCTATTCACAATGACTCTCAATCTCTCTTAACCCATGCCCATTCCAAAAAACAAACAAAAATCTCTCTCAATTGGCCTTTTACATATTATATTTAGCATAAAATCAGTAGCTAAATATATTTAGCATATAAATATATGCTAAATATATTTAGCATAAAATAAGTAGCATAAAATCAAGGCATATGAATAGAGAAAAGAAAACGTGACAAATAGTCAAGAGAAAAAAACAGATAATGGAAAAAAAATCTCCAGATGATCAAGATGCTGTAGTTAGCTAATGAGGATTTTTAAAAAACTTACAAATACATTAAAGAATGGAGAAGAAAAAAATATAAAAAGTTTATTAAAACAGCAGTCCCTGACCTTTTGGCACCAAGGACTGGTTTCGTGGAAGACAGTTTTTCCAGGGATGGTCGGGGGGTTGGGTGGAGGGGGATGATGGTTTTGGGATAAAACTGTTCCACCTCAGATCGTCAGGCATTAGATTCTCAAGAAGCACACAACCTAGATCCCTCACATGTGCAGTTCGCAATAAGGTTCATACTCCTATGATAATTTAATGCCACCACTGATCTGACAGGAGGCAAAACTCAGGGGGCAATGCTGGCTCAACTGCTGCTCACTTCCTGCTGTGTGCCTGGTTCCTAGCAGGCCACAGACTGGTAACAGTTCCTAGCAGGCCACAGACTGTTACCAGTCTGTGGTCCAGGGATTGAGGAACCCCTGATAAAGAAATACAGAATTTCAAGAGAAAATTTGAACCTATAAAAATAGTTAAATGCATATTCTCAAACTAAAAAAATAAAGTATCTGAAATCAGGAACTCATTGAATAGGTTTAATAGCAGCTTGGACAAAGAAGATGTGTTTGGTTAGCTCAAAAACAGATCAATAGAAAATATCCAATATGAAGCACAGAGAGAAAGAAGAAGAGAACAGAGCATAAGGGAGAAGTGGGATGCTCTCAACACATAACACATGTATAATTAGAGTCCCAGAACAAGAGAATGTGGCAGAAGCAATAGTTGTGGGGGCTTTTGTTGGTTTTTTTTTGTTTTTTTTTTGGAGACAGGGTCCCACTCTGTCACTCAGGCTGGAGTACAGTGGCATGATCATGGCTCACTGCAGCCTCAACCTTCTGGGCTCAAGTGATCCTCCCACCTCAACTTATTGAGTAGCTGGGACCACAGGTGCGTGCCACCACGCCCAGCTAATCTTTTTTATTTTTTATTTTTTTGTTGTTGTTGTTTTAAGGGTCTCCCTATGTTGCCCAGGCTGGTCTCTAACTCCTGGTCTCAAGCAATCCTCCTGCCTTGGCCTCTGAAAGTGTTGGGATTACAGGCATGAATCACCACACCCAGCCAAAAAGCAGTATTTGAAAGTACAATGGCCAATAATTTTCCAAAACTAACGAAAGACAAGCTTAGAGATGTAAGAATCAATGAACCTTAAGCAAATAAGAAAGAGCCAGGTTTGGTGGTTCACATCTGTAATCCCAGCACCTTAGGAGGCTGAGTTGGGAGGATTGCTTGAGCCCAGGAGTTCAAGACCAGCCTAGGCAATATAGTGAGACCTCATCTCTACAAAAATAAATAAATAAATAAAAATTAAAAAAACAAAAAAAAAGAAAAAAATAGCTACTCAGGAGGCTGAAGTGAGAGGATTGTTTGAGCCTGGGAGGCTGAGGCTGCAGTGAGCCATGACTGCACCACTGAACTCCAGCTTGAGTGATGAAGTGAGACCATGTCTCAGAAAAAAAAAAAAAAAAAGTAGTATTAAATATTACCAAAGATGGAGAGGAATATTTCATAATGATAACAGAATTGTGATAATAATATCTATCATCTCATCCCAGCCCCAAAATGGCCATGCCCTGATACCTGGAGCCTGTGAATATGTTAATTTATATGACAAAGGCGACTTTGCAGATATGACTACATTAGGGATCTTGAGATGGAGAGATTTTCGTGCATTATCTCTGTAGGCCTGATCTAATCACAAGAGTCCTTATAAAAGACAAGGCAACGTGAATCTGGAAATAGAGAAAAATCGAAGAAGCTGGCTTTTTTTTTTTTTTTAGACAGAGTCTCACTCTGTTGCCTAGGCTGGAGTGCAATGGCGCGATCTTGGCTCACTGCAACCTTCGCCTTCCAGGTTCAAGTGACTCTCCCACCTCAGCTTCCCAAGCAGCTGGGATTACAGGCACTCACCATCATGCCCGGCTAATTTTTGTATTTTTATACAGACAAGGTTTCACCATGTTGGCCAGGCTGGTCTTGAACTCCTGACCTCAGGTGATCTGCCCGCCTTATCCTCCCAAAGTGCTGGGATTACAGGCATGAGCCACCGCACTTGTCCTCTGCTGACTTTCAAGATGCAAGAAGGGCCCTGAGCCCAGGAATGCAAGAATTGCAGCACTAGAAGCTAGAAAAGGAAAGGAAAGGAATTCTCCCCTAGAGCCCTTGGAGAACCTTAGTTTTGGTCCAGTAAAACCAATTTTGAACTTCTGACCTCCAGAACTATAAGATAAATTTGTGTTAAGTCACTAAGTTTGTGGTAACTTGTTACAACAACAGTAGGAAACTAATACAAGGATCAATAAAAGAAGAAAATATGAAACTCAGTTTATCTCCACCTAATAATATCAAATCTAAAAAGCAAAATTTGACAGAATAAAAGAAGAAACTGGTAAGTCCATTATCATAGTTGCATAATGTTAACTCACTATTCTTAGTAACTAATAAAGCAGACCAAAAAACAAATTAGAAGAGATATGAAAGATTTAAGCAATCCTATTAACTATCTTGACCTATTTGACTTTTATAAGACACTACACACAACCACTGTAGAACACACATTCTTTTCAAGCACACAAGTAACATTTACTGAAACAGACCATATGCTGAGCCATAAAGCAAGTCTTACAAATTCAGAAAACTGAAATTATACCAAGTTTTTTTGCTGCCCACAGAGGAATTAAACTAGAAATAAACAATAGAAACATCTAAATAATAATAATAAATTTTAAAAAACAACAACAAAAAACCTCTATATACTGGAAAATAAGAGAGCCCTCTCTCTTTTCCTCCTCCCCTGCAAAATTCTCCCCTGCAAAGTTCTCATACCCTGGAGGAATGGAGGGAGGGAGGGAAAGAGAGAGAATGCTACCTGTCCTAAAATGTCACCACCCTCATTCAGATTCATCTTGGTCTTTACCACTGCTAGCCTTCTCTGTAAAGTTTTTCCTTTTGCCTTTCCACCAATTCCTGCCTCTCTTCAAGGCCTAACTTAAACCTTGCCTTTGCCATAAAGCAGTCCCTAATTGCTTTTTGTCCATAATGATCTCAGCTTCCCCTCAACTTTTAAACTAGATATTGTCCATGCCTCTTTTAGCTCTCAACCACCTCTTATCCTAAAGTCTTATTTAATATTTTATGTGGGTAAACACTATTCTTTAATAAGAATGCCAACTGTTTAATGATATAATCTATACCTTATAGCCTTGATATGCATAGACCAGAAACAGGAGCATCAGCCAAGGAGTTTGTTAGAAATGGTGGTCTGAGACCCCACCACAGACCTAATAAATTAAAATCTGCATTTTAACAAGATCCACAGGTGACCGGAATACATATTTAAGTTTGAAATGTCATGCCTTATAGTGCTTCTCTTTAATCCACCACAATATATTGCACATTGTAAGCAATTTAATAAATACCATTCAAATTGATTTAAAAATATAACACGTATACATTTATTTTTTATTCTTTTAAAGACAGGGTCTTCCTCTGTCACCCCAGCTAGAGTGCAGTGGCGTGATCATGGCTCACTGCAGCATCAATCTCCTGGGCTCAAGTGGCCCTCTTGCCTCAGCCTCCCAAGAGGCTGGGACTACAGGCATGCACCACCACACCCAGCTAATTTTTATGTATTTTATTTTTATTTTTAGAGATGAGGTTTTGCTATGTTGCTCAGGCTGATCTTGAACTCCTGGCCTCAAGTAATCCTCCCTCTTCGGCTTCTCGAAGTGCTGGGATTATAGGTATGAGCCACTGTACCTGGCCTGCTGCTAATTTTTTTTTTAAACAGTCTCCTTCTGTCACCCAGGCTGGAGTGCATTGCCACAATCTCAGCTCACTGCAACCTCCACCTCCTGGGTTCAAGAGATTCTCCTGCCTCAGCCTGCTGAGTAGCTGGGACTACAGGTGCACGCCACTGCACCCAGCTAATTTTTGTAATTTTTTTTTTGTAGAGACGGGGTTTTTACCTTATTGGCCATGCTGGTCTAGAACTCCTGACCTCAGGTGATCCACCCGCCTCAGCCTCCCAAAGTGCTGAGATTACACGGGAGCGTGAGCCCCAGTGCCCTGCATGCTGCTACGTTTTTAACATCCAAAGAACACGTAATAAATTTAAGGTAAAAAAATGTATATTCTCAATAAGTACAATGATTAATGGTATTTTAATAGACACTTGTAAAATCCAAGCACATGGCAACATGATGTTTCTCCTGCCTGTTGCCTAGACATTATGATGCAAAAGATATTTAAATGTTTGACTAGTCACTAAGAATAATGACCCATGATGAATAACAAACTGAATGGTTGTTTATGCCTACTCTACCATCAAGTGGATGAAAGGACTTGTTGAAAAGTAATTAGCGCCCAGGTGTGGTGGCTCATGCCTTTCATCCCAGCACTTCGGAAGGCTAAGGTGGGCAGATCGCTCGAGCTCAGGAGTTCAAGACCAGCCCGGGCAACATGGTGAAACCCTGTCTCTACAAAAATACAAAAATTACCCGGGCATGGTGGCATGTGTCTGTAGTCTCAGCTACTCAGAAGACTGAGGGGTGGGAGGATTGCTTGAACCTAGAAAATGAAGGTTGCAGCGAGCTGAGGTTGCACCACTGCACTCCAGCCTGGGTGACAGAGCCAGACCCTGTCTCAAAAAAACAGAAAAAAAATTAATTAGCAATATATTATAACTAATGCATCTCCATAATTAGAGCAGTAACTCTTTACAAATACCTACTTTTGAACTACCTGAGTCCCACGTCAAGCCCTCAAAGATATGATACTTAATTTTGCTTTAAAATGCTGCACTAAAACTACTTCTAGATTTTAATAAATGTTATACAGTTTACCAGAGTACCAAAAAACTCTCATGCATTTGTGAAATTTTTAAAAATCTCATTTAAAACAAACAAATATGAATTCGGCCTTCAATCATTCTGGAGGACCTATCCCAGTGATTTTGAAATTTGAATTTGAAAGCACCTGTTTTAGTGTATTTCTTTTTTGTTTTGAAACCATTAATATAGCAAATCTTTTAGGAATGCCTCCTCTATTTTTTCAGGTCAAACATCCACTTAATTTTAATTACCTAACTGAACTTCTTCTTTATAAAAAAAAGAATACAGCACTTGAGAAGGTGCCATTAAGAATAACTAAAATTTTGTTATCTTGACCCCGTAGTATCTAAAAATCTTTGTTTCCAGTTTAAACAGATAAATTAGTAGCTTATATTGCATGCCTAGGTTCCTACACCCATTTTGGAAACAATTGGTCAATTCTTCCCTCCTGCCCCTACCTATTGAACGCTATCCCACTTAAACAAAACATCAACACCTAATCCTTTGCGTTCCTTGACCAGGTGAAATACTTAAAAGAGGTTCCTTGGGGACAACAAGAAAGTGTGTCAGATAGATGCCTACTGTCATACCTCACTTCTTTATTCTAAAAGAACAAAATTAATTCTGACAGATAATAATTTTGAAGTTCTACAAGGAATCACTAATTCAAATTACTTCAAAACTGTGAAATAGGAACTAAAAAATGATACACATATCATAGAATACAAAAATGTACTCAGGGCCAGGCACAGTGACTAATGCCTGTAACCCAGCTGAGGAAGATCGCTTGAACCCAGCAGTTGGAGGCTGCAGTACACTATGATTGTGCCACTGTACTCCGGCCAGGGTGACAGAACAAGAACTTATCTCTAAAAATAAAAATAAAATAAAAATGTATTCAGGTAGCCTCCTCTTTTTTTGCCATAATAAGATGACCATCAAATGTAACATATGGAATTAAAGCTATTTTAAGTGTAAATAGTTATCTCATAAAGTTGTTTTCCCATAAAAAAAAAATGTAATATTTGAGGCCTACAGTCCTGACAGATAAGATCAACAAAATACCATTTTAAAAAATTTACTTGTTGAAGCTAGTGAAAGTTTTGCACCAACACCCACAAAATGAACATAAACATATGTTTCAGTTTCACAAAGGGTTCAGATGTACTCTAGTTTAAAAGCTTGGAAATCTCACTTGATTCTTTCTTTTCCTTTATATATTAGCAGAAATATTCAAAATCATTCTATATACTTGAGAGATGTTTCACTCAAGGAATTAGGCATAATTATTCTTGCTGTTATCAGGAATGGTCATATAAAGATTATGTTTTACCCAATTGTCCTTTTTACTCTCTCCTCCCTCACAATTTATTCAATGACAAAAGGGCAGCTGTGCAGAAAGCAGACCAAAAGTGCTCACTATGAAACCATTAATGGTTATTACATTACTGTCTCTAATACTTTATTATCAAAAGATCTAGCTGATATTTGGCTGACAACCATGTACTACAAACATAGTGTGAAAATCATCTTTAAGAAAGAATTTAAAGCTCTAAATGGCTCTTAAAGAATTCTACACAGTCTTGGTAAGCATCTCATCCAGTTAAACGTAAGACCTAAAGATCAAATAGATACACTAGCTGTTGACAATTAGGGAGTCCCAGAAGCACCATAACTCTGGGAAGAAATCCATGCATGCAGGCTGGTAAAAACAGGTAGGTCTAGCAGTAGGCAGAGAACATTAGGAAAATGAGGTTAAGCAGCAGGCAGTGAAGTCTAAGCAGATATGCAGTCGGCCTCAGGAAAATAATGTCAGCAGGTATAAGAGACCCAATCACAAAGATTTACTTTGATTTATAACAAAAATTTAGAGAGTCAATCAACAAATGTTTATTGAAGGACTCACGAATTAGTCACTGTTCTGAATACTGGGGATCTAGATATTAATAACATGATGAAGATTACTTACTATATACAAGGTTCTGTGCTAAACATTCTGTGATTACAAGTGTTTTGTTTTTTGGATTTTTTTTTTTTTTAATGGAATGGGTTTATCAGAGAGAAAAAAAAAAGCAAAGCAAAATCAGCCTAGGACTGGGAAAACACCATCAAAACACTGCAAGTAACTGTTAGAGGTCACTGTGGACAAGCCTAATGAAGTTAGTCTAAACGCACCTGAGAAACATTGAAAATCTTTCTTAGGAAGGCTGTTCAACAGAACTGAGTTCCTGGCCTTTCCTTAAGTCAGTTTTTTTTGTTTTGTTTTGTTCCTATAGTTAAATTCAAAATCAGGACGGAAATTTTTTTAAAAGTCTGGTAGAGAATGCTTTTTTTTTTTTTTTTTTTTTTTTTTTGAGATGGAGTCTTGCTCTGTCGCCCAGGCTGGAGTGCACTGGCGCGATCTCGAATCACGGCAAGCTCCGCCTCCCGGGTTCACGCCATTCTCCTACCTCAGCCTCCGGAGTAGCTGGGACTACAGGCGCCCGCCACCACGCCCGGCTAATTTTTTTGTATTTTTAATAGAGACGGGGTTTCACCGCATTAGCCAGGATGGTCTCGATCTCCTCAACTCGTGATCTGCCCGCCTCGGCCTCCCAGCAGCCTCGGCCTCCCAAAGTGCTGGGATTACAGGCGTGAGCCGCCGCGCCCGGCCGAGAATGCTTCTTTAAAACATAAATGATTTTAGCTCCCTTATGTCTGAGAAGCTTTCCATGACCTCATCTTCCACTTCTGTAATCTGGCAGGTCATTAGAAAAGACACTTTATTAGTGTCCCTCTCAATCTGCAGGAGATATTTCAAGCTTCACATATCAGCTTCACATTTTGTTACCTTTGACTTGACTTTAACTCCTCCCACCTTTGCCTCTCCCCACCTACTCTCTATTCCAACAATGTTGGCCTGCTTTCTATTTCTGAAACATGCTGGGGAATTTCCCACTCCAGGGCTATTGTATTTGGATTCCCTCTGCTTAGACAGCTCTTCCTCTAAATATAGGCATCACATCCTTTGACCACTTCTTTCAAGTACAAGTGTTATTTGGTTGTTGATATCAGTTCAAGGAAAGCTTAATGATGAACTAACCAGTAAACGAAGCTGGTAACTAAGGTGCAGGGAGCAACAAGCCAGGGTACAAATTATTGGAATAGTGATATAAGGCATGGCCAAAATTCAGTTCCTGGAATCAAGCTATTGAAGAGCCAATAATAAAGTTTTAATTCATTCAGAAAGAAAAAAAAAGTTTATACCTACACCAAGTACTAGAGATGAAAAAAATCAAAAAGGCAACACCTGGCCCTAGTCACTGCCCTTTTAATTAATATTCTCTGATACTCTCAAAGTCTCTGGTTTGTCATCTTTAAAACAGGAATAACAATAAGCTGATTAAAATGCTCAAGTAAAAAAACTTGACAGCCGAGCGTGGTGGTTCATGCCTGTAATCCCAACACTTTGGGAGGCCGAGAAGGGCGGATCACCTGAGGTCAGGAGTTCAAGACCAGCCTGGTCAACATGGCGAAACCCCGTCTCCACTAAAAATACAAAAATTAGCCAGGTGTGGTGGCAGGTGACTGTAATCCCAGCTACTCAGGAGGCCGAGGCAGGAGAATCGCTTGAACCCGGGAGGTGGAGGTTGCAGTGAGCCAAGATAGCACCACTGCACTCCAGCCTGGGTGACAGAGTGAGATCCGCCTTAAATATACATATATATATATATGTACATATATATGTGTATATATATATATGTACATATATATGTGTATATATATATGTACATATATATGTGTGTATATATATATGTACATATATATGTGTGTATATATGTACATATATATGTGTATATATATATGTACATATATATGTGTATATATATATGTACATATATATGTGTATATATATGTACATATATATGTGTGTATATATGTACATATATGTGTATATATAGATATGTACATATATATGTGTATATATAGATATGTACATATATATATGTGTATATATATATGTACACACACACACATATAAATAAAAAAATTTTAAAAAACCTTGAGGATTCACTCTCTAATCTGCAAGGAGCCATACAAATGTTAGCTATTAGTATCATTCATTAACAGACTATAGCACTAACTCAATCATTAAATAGTA
This sequence comes from Homo sapiens, assembly GCF_000001405.40. Lineage (NCBI taxonomy): Eukaryota > Metazoa > Chordata > Mammalia > Primates > Hominidae > Homo > Homo sapiens. Next base: position 39,417,045 of record NC_000012.12, read on the forward strand.
AACACCAGAACTAGCATGAAGGCCATGTGTGTGAATGGCTAGGAATGGGGCCAGAAGAAAAATGCAGTATATAAGACATTAATGAGAAAGAAACAGGATTTGGCTACAACAAGGGGTACATAAAAAAAAAGAAATTTGTAAAATGTATCAGAAGACACAGTGTTATGGGAGAGAATGATAGAAAAATATGGCAGTACTAAATTGGGGGTGGGGAAGAACCTTGAAAAATATTAAGTATGAATACAACATCTAATAATGCCAGAATCACGTGAGGAGAACAGAAAATTCTCCAGTAGATACAATTTTGTTCAGTCATGATTATATTTTCCAATATCAATGATACTGACAATTATAGCTTTTAGATTTTACCAAATTTTCCACTATTTATATTATGTTATGAAACACACAAGAAATGAAAATATATTAGCCGGCTACTTTTTAACCAGTAAGGGAACAGTTATGTGAGGCTTCTTCGTATCACTTAGCAAATGTAGCATACAAGGAAAAGATATGGCTTCCTTCATCTTATTACCTATTGAGTTCTAGAAAGGCTATACAACCAACAAAGCAATACCAATAACACTTAATTTTGTGGTCAGATCACCCTGGAAAGAACATTTGCTCCATGGAATGCTCATACTTCACTGGTCTACATCATTATGACACTATTATATTCGGTCAGGTATTGAATAATTTAAAACCTGAACTAGGGCAGCAACAAAGGGAATGGAAAATATATATATATTATTAATATAAAATACAGTATGACAAGTATGACAGTATGACAAGAAGCTCTACCACTTAAATTTTACTAGTGGGAATCCAATTTGGTCCAACTTCTGGGCAATGTCTAATTCTGTCATTTAAATAAGCAAAGAATTGGCTGGGTGCAGTGGCTTATGCCTGAAATCCCAGCACTTTGGGAGGCTAAGGCAGGTGGATCTCTTGGGCTCAGGAGTTGGAGATCAGCCCAGGCAACATGGTGCAACCCCATCTCTACAAAAAATACAAAAATTAGTCAAGCGTGGTGGTGTATGCCTCTAGTCTCAGCTACTCATGGCGCTAAGGCAGGAGGATCCCTTGAGCCTAACAGGAGAGGAGATTGCACCATTGCATTCCAGCCTGGGTGACAAAACAAGACCCTGACTAAAAAAAAAAAAAAAGAGCAAAGAGTAGCTATAGACAGAAAAACATCCAGAAAACATTGATTTTGTAAGGTCTAATCTATATCTGGACAGAGGTGATTAGTAACAGTTTTGAGACCTGCCCAGTTAGTAATTCGGTAGGAATGACCCACATACATGAAGTAATATGTTAAGTGATGAAAACATAGCAAACATTGTTCAATCCCCTCCAAAAATGCAAACACCTCTCTTGTTACTTGGGTAACTGATACATGAAAACAATATAGGACTTCCTAGAATTTTCTGAGTTCATTATCTGTTGTTCCTAATATCTGATTATGATACTTTACCCGGGCACATAAACATCCGAGTGTTTGGGAAATACTAGAAAACTACAGATGCAACAGAAATCAAGAGTGGAAGCCATTTAATTCAGAATGTTCCTCTATGAATGGTGAGCACTCAAGCTTCTACAGTAGCATCAGTGAGAATTCACCATTAATAAGTTAAAGGAAGGTCTGGTTTTGCAATAAGAGAAAGTTGCTAAATGACTATGACAAATGATGATGTTACATGATTGTGTTATAAGAACACCCACAAATTACCAAAAATGTAGCATTTATGTGATACAATTAGTGCAGCCCCCAGAACATGTTCCATTGGCTTAATTGCCCTTTGTTTCAGGGAGGAATTAACATTTTCTAAGCAACTACTATGTGCCAGGAACTGTACTTAGAATCTACATTTGTTATTTTATTAATAATTGCTATTTGTTCAATTACAGTTTCTCAAACAGTGGTTTTGTTTGGTTTGGTTTTCTCTTAAGCGGAAAAGGCACAGTATCTAACTTGCATGTGAATTTGGTTCAATGGCTGGATTCATACAAGTAAATATAGTATTTGTTAAGTGAATGAATAAATGTTGAAGAAATGAATGAATGGCATGAAATGGTATGACATGGAAGGGTATGGTTTAGTACTGGCTCTCTTCTGAAAACTCCACTTACAGGAGTACTCTGTTGACAAGTTCCTAGGTGTAGTTCTAACAGTAGAAATGCCTTGGAAACAGATTCATAAACTTTAGAGCCACAAGGAATCTTGGAGGAGATCCTTTACTCTAACTCTCTCATTTTAAAGATGATGCCAAGAGAAAGCAAGTGATTTGCCTAAAGTTAACTTATCTAGTTACTGTAAGATGCAAGGCTCAGCCCTAGTTCCTATAATTTCCATTCCTATAGTGTAAACAGTTCCTTTTTGCTACTCCCTTGAGGGTTGATTGAAGCTCCTATGTGAAGGAACCATACTGACCAGTAATGTTTACTATGAAATCACTTGAACTATTAGTATATATAAAATACTCGCATTTACGTCAAGATAGGGAAAGGATTTTTCTTACTGCCTCATAATTTAAATGAAAGTCTCAAGGTAAGTTGCTAGACACAGTCTCACATGACTTACCAAAAGGTAGCCAAACTGGCCCTTCAACCATAAGCCCTTTATCATTCATCTTCAGGCTATATAAGATAAGGCTAAAGATTCATGGTGGGGATATTTTGAAGAAATTCCAAGTTATAGAGAACATTGTTTTCTCTCTTCCTCTCCAAAGTATAAGGCAGTAGAATACCTCTCCTGTGTCAAGACAAATGAGGGGGTGGCCAAAGATTTTACTTTCAGAAATTGAAGACCTAAAAGAAGAGAATTCTGGCATCTCCATTCGGCAGAACTCAAGCACATCCCATCTCAGTATGTCCATCTCATAGAAGACAGGCCCATCTCAGAGTGTCCACCCGGAGAGGAGAGGTGAGAGTTCTGGGAAAATCTGATGTGTCCTCTGGAGACCAGATGTATAAATAAACACAGAGAAATGGCAACTGCTTCTCACCTGGAAAAGTCTGAAGACAGAAAGTAAAAAAAAAAAAAAAAAAAAAAAAATGAGAGGGCAGTAACTCAACAAGCAAGCTGCACTTTTGCTGTTTGACGAGTCACAGATATGTGATACTTCTCATTGCCCAACTGGACAAAATGAGAATGGCCCGAGAATATGCCATTTCACTGGAATTTTGCTAAGGAAAGTTGACTACAGGGGCAAAGGTACATTTGCTGTAAGAGGCTATGGGTGTATGGGAGAGTAAAGAGGTAACAGGAGCCAGGGGATTCCCAAGAGGTCAGACAGAGAGTAGAACTCTCATCACAGATGTAGCAAGGAAGCTGCCCTCAGGAGGCTTTACAAAGAACCCAAGGGTGTAATGGCCAGCTAATGAAAGCAAAAGAGAACTATAAAGAACATCAAGCAAAGAACTACGAAGAACACTAAGTTTAAAAAAAAAATCTGCTCTTCTTCCTCAAATGTGTCTCCACTCCCTGTTTTGAAGACCCAGAAACAGCAAAGTGAGTATGGAAGGAGGAATGAAAGAGCAAGTTGAGGCAGTAAGGCGAGTCCCCCTTTCCCACTGTAGGTCATTAAGTCTTCAGTCAGGATGGAGCTAAATGGAAAGAAAAGAAGAGCAAATTGGATGTTTTTGGTTTAGATTAGGCAGTACTCTAATTCCTGAAAATGACACCATTCTTACAGCTAAAAGTAAGTTGAAAGTAATGAGATCTACCCGTGAGGCTGAAAAGAAAAAAAAAAATCAGACAAATCCTGAATGAAGCATAAACCCAAATTTCCTAGCTGTAACCCACCAAATTCAACCCACCCAACAAACCAGTTATACAGTCTTCAGGAATCAGGTTTGAAAGAACAACTTTATGATCTAGGGAAATGCTCTTGATTTAACAAAAAAAAAAATAAAGTGAAGTGAAAAATGAAGGAAAACTGTACATACAATAGGATTTAATTTAGGGTTAAAGACACGTGTCACATAGTGACATTTTAGTCAATGACTGACCGCATATTCAACAGTGGTCGCTTAAGATGATAATACTGTGTTTTTACCACACATTTTCTATGTTCAGATCTGTTTAGATACACAAATGCTTACCATTGTGTTACAACTGCCTACTGTATAATGTTCAGTATAGTAACATGCTACACAGGTTTGTAGCCTAGGAGCAATACGCTCTATCATATACCCTAAGTGTGTAACAGGCTATACCATCAAGGTTTGTATAAGTATACTCTATTATGTTCACACAACCGCAAAATTGCCTAATGACACATTTCTCTGTGTCGTTAAGAACATATCCTGTTTAAGCAAAACATGACTGTAATATAAGATTATATTAAAAATATGATAGGCAGATGGCCGAGCGCAGTGGCTCAAGCCTGTAATCCCAGCACTTTGGTTGGCCAAGGCAGGTGAATAACCTGAGGGCAGGAGTTCAAGACCAGCCTGGCCAACATGGTAAAACCCTTTCTCTACTAAAAATACACAAATTAGCCGGGTGTGATAGTGCATGCCTGTAGTCCCAGCTACTCAGGAAGCTGAGGCAGGAGAATTGCTTAAACCCAGGAGGTGGAGGTTGCAGTAGGCCAGGGCTGCGCCACTGCACTCCAACCTGGGTGACAGGGCAAGACTCCATCTCAAAATAAATAAATAAATAAATATATATAATTTATATATATATATATATATACACATACACACATATATATTTATTTATATATAAAAATAAAATATGTATAATTTTATATATTATATAATTATATGTATAATTTTATATATTATATAATTACATATATAATTTATATATATAAATAATAAACATATATATGGCAGAAATAAAATAACATTTTTAAAATTTATCTGAGTGGTAAAATTGTTATAAATTTTCCAAAATGAACAAATAGTACCTTTTTGTGGGATGGAGGGCAAACTCTCACTTTATCACCCAGGCCTGCATGCAATGGCGCCATCATAGCTCACTGCAGCCTCAGCCTCCCCTAGCTCAAGCGATTCTCCCACCTCAGCCTCCCAAGTAGCTGGGATTACAGGTACGTACCACCACATCCAGCTAATTTTTGTTTTTTTTTTTAATAGAGAGGGTTTCATTACGTTGCCCAGGCTGGTCTCAAACTTCTGAGCTCAAGTGATCCACCCACTGTGGCCTCTCAAAGTGCTACGATTACATGCATGAGCCACCATGCCCAGCCGCAAACAGTACTTCTACAATCAGAGAAAAATAGTTAACCCTTGCAAGTAGTCTTGTGAAAAAAATAGAAAAATTTTTTCTACAACGTCTTTTCATCTTCCTTTCAGTGTGACTAGTATTGTTCTAAATTTTGCTGCCAAAAGCAGCTGTACTAATAATATCAGATGATAAGACTACAATCCTTGAATTTCAGGGCCAGAAAGATAACTAGTCAATGTATTATTCACCCAAGACTGTCAATAAGACAAGACAATAAAACGGTAGGCAACTGCTATGAAAATATAAATCATCAATTACCCTCCCACCTCCTCTCAGTGGTGTCATGGGACACCTCAAAACTTTAATTAGCCACTTTTTCCCAGTTACCAAAACATCTCCACCCCTAGCAAAACTAGCCATCTAAGGCCTTCAAGTTGTTCTTTGGTCTGAAATATGCCAAAAGTTCATCAAACTACTGTTCACCAAAGTCTCCACCAGAAGTACAAGCTTCCAAGATCATCCTTCAATATAAAAGTGTTCATTCAACACTGCTCTAAATATCCTCTAATTTGGCCCCATCATCTATCTTTCATTTCCTTCCTAAATACTTCCACTGTGTTGAAAATCATCATCTGCCATCAGCAGTATAGTGTGGTTATTGCCTGGAACACCAGAGGGAATCAAATCTAGCACTGCCACTTCCAACTCTGTGACCAAGGGCAAGTTGCTTAACTTCTCAATTTCCTCATTCATAAAGTGAGACTAATAATAGTACCAATATTATAGGATTATTGTGAGGATCACATGAGTTAATATGTGTTTAGAGTTGGGAACAGTTTTGCTTCCGGCAAATAGTAAGTGCTTGACAAATGTATTAAAATGAACTATTTTTTATTAGAACACTCATCTATACCCTCAACCTAAAACTTAACCTGCTCATCCCCTGAGGACATGGCTTCTACTGAAGGGCTCTCAAGTAAGGCTATTTTTTCTTCTACTATAAGTCAGTGCCCGGAGATGAGTTTTTTTCTTGCTCCCTAATGTAGTTTCCAGTATCTCTCTTCTTTTTTTTTCCTCCAAAGATCCCATATTCTTTGAAGCACATGTAAGGATAGACCTTACTACCCTTCAAAACCCTTTATTGCTGTACCTGGACACACTGCCTCATCCACTGATCTCAAGATCCACAGTCTTCTCCTCGCCACTGATAGTCCTATCAGCATTCTTGGCAACTTCAAATCCCCATAGGTGCTACATTCAACAACACAATTCCACAGCTTCTTACCCTCCTTAAAATCATTCTCATTTTTGTTAAAAAAAAAAAATGCAGGCTGGGCGCCGTGGCTCACGCTGTAGTCTCAGCACTTTGGGAGGCAGAGGCTAGTGGATCACCTGAGGTCAGGAGTTTGAGACCAGCCTGACCAACATGGAGAAACCCCGTCTCTACTAAAAATACAAAATTAGGCAGGGCATGGTGGCTCATGCCTGTAATCCCAGCACTTTGGGAAGGCAAGGCAGGTGGATCACGATGTCAAGAGATCGAGACCACCCTGGCCAACACAGTGAAACCCCATCTCTACTTAAAAAATACAAAAATTAGCTGGGCATGGTGGCGCATGCCTGTAGTCCTGGCTACTCAAGAGGCTGAGGCAGGAGAATCACTTGAACCTGGGAGGCGGAGGTTGCAGTGAGCCGAGATTGCGCCACTGCACTCCAGCCTGGGGGACAGAGCAAGACTCTGTCTCAAAAAAAAAAAAAAAAAAAAAAAAAAAAAGGCAGTCAGAAGAGAACTACTTCATCTTCCCACTCTCATATCCAACAACTTACATGCATTATTTGATACCACTGTTTCTGCTTCCTTGCCTAGCATTGTCTCATTAACCTACTGTAATCAAGCACTCCACTAAAGCAGCTCATATTTGAGTCATAAATAACTTAACTCCAACCAAAGGCAATGGCCAACTTTTGCTCACATCTTACTTGACTTCTCAGCAACATCTAAAGTCAACTTTTAGGACAACATACTCTCACTGCTTTCTCCTACCTCACTACTACTAACCGCTCTTCTCCAGTATCCTTGACTAGATCTTCTCTTCTTGGCCTATAAATATTAGTGTTCCAGAGCTCTTTCCCCATAAGTCTTCTCTAAATTTTCCCTCTTCATGGATGAATGCATCCAAAGCCATGGCTGCAAACATCTAAATGCTGTTGACTCTCAAAAGTTTATCTTCAGACCAGACATCTTCCCTGTGATCCAAACTCATAGATTAAATAACTGACTTGACATCTTTATTAGAATGTCCAATATGCACAACAATTTCAACACAGACAATATAGAACTATTAATCTCACCCCCAAAAAATCAATTTCACCTCAAAGCCCCAAGCCTAAGAATCTACTTGATCCTTTTCTTTTCATCACACCCTTTGCCAGCAAGTCCTAACAGCTCTATCTCCCCAAATCTACGTTTCACCATTTGTACTGTTATTTTTTTAGCCCAAGCCACCTTTATGTCACTCCTGGAACATAATAACTGCTTTCTCACTCATCTCCTACATTTTCACCTCTTATAATACAGTCCACCTTGTACCGAGCAACAAGAGTTATCTTTCTGAAATGCATATTAGATCATGTCACATCTCTACTTGAAGCTCTCTAAAGATTTCTCACTAAAAGCGAAGTCTAAAATTTCCACCCAGACCTATAAGGCCCTTAATGATCTTACCTCTCTACCTACCTCTCCGATCTTACCTATCTTCACCCTCGGTTCTATTTTCTATATCTGGCTATACTGTCCTTCTCACCTGTCCACTAACAGGCCAGTTTATTTCTTAGCCCTTTTTCACTTGCTTTTGCTGGAATGCTGTTCTCTCAGGTCTTCTCATGGCTCATTTTCCAATATTCAGGTCTCAACTCAAATGACTCCTCCCAACCAAGGACAACTACTATCAAGCATATTGTTTTACCCTCTCCATAGTATATATCAATATCTGGATTTAAAAAAAAATATTTATTGTCTCTATCCTCACCCAATGCTCAGCTCCTTGAGAATTAAAGCTCTTGTCTTGCTCACATCTGTACCCTCAATACCCAGAACTCCCTTCCAGGCACACCAGTGGCAGTCAAATGGTTTTTGACAGACTGAATAAAGTCTCCGTAAGAATAATCCGAAGTAAATTATATTTTTCACCTCTGATGTTAAAGACCAGAGCTATGTGCCTGCTGATGTATTAAGCATCCAGACAGAGGACAAACAAGAAATAAAAGAGCCTATCCTTGCTTTTGAGTAATTCACAATGAATTGGAGGAGGAATAAAAAACCAACATAAGCCCAAGATACTAAAGATAACTGTTTACAAAGCAATCTATGAATAAACTTACTGTCATATAATATAAATTATATACATGGAGGGGTTATAAGTGTTGAGAATATGATAGAATTAGGAAAGGCGTCCTTAAAAGAGAATAATTTTTTGAGGCATATATTATCAATATCCTTTTACAGATGAGGGAACAGAGGCTTAGGCAGATTAAAGAATCCACCCAAGGTTAAAAACTAGGAAAGGAGTCAGGTTCAAGCAAGTCTCCTAATGTCAGAGCCCATTTTCCTCAGGAAATCATGTTTCTGCCGCTTCCTTATAACAAGAGCTAGCTACTCTGAAAGATACATCTAACAGAAGTAAGATTAGAAACTAAAAAAAAAAAAAAAAAAAAATGGAGCTGTCAAGGACATCTAGAAATCTATGCAAGATTCAACAGCAAAACTCCACCAATAATAAATGTTTACCCTGCCTTGGGTCTTTGGGTCTTTGAATGATAAAACAGGTAATCGGTCTACCAAGACAAAACTGGCTGGTACCCACAAGACACTGAGATTGATGAAATGGAAACATACGAAAAAAAATAAGCAGTTAACAAAGGAGTCTTAAATTGTATTCAAAATATTTTTAGAATTGGAATATTTTAAGAAATTTCCATAAAAGCTTTCTACCTCACTAAAATTCAAGCTGTCCACTCTAAATGGATGTTATTAACTAACTGTGTGAGAAAAGGATGTTGCGAATATGTGTGAGTATACACACATGTACACGCATGTATGCGTGTACTCATATCCTTGTATGTGTGGATGAACAGTCGTCAATAAATATTTGCATTTAACATATGTGATGAAAATAGGAATAAATTCATGGAGAGGTATTTTTAAAAATGGAATGAGCATGGAAATTAAAAAAGCATTAGAGAAGAGAAAGCAAATAAACCAAGGAGGCTATGTCAAAGATAAGGCAAAGACCAGATGTCATGGGACTTATATCATTATTAAGAAGCATTTACATTACTATTTTGGAAATTAAGGCCGGGCACGGTGGCTCACGCCTGTAATCCCAGCACTTTGTGAGGCCGAGGTGGGCAGATCACTTGAAGCCAGGAGTTTGAGACCAGCCTGGCCAACATGGTGAAACCCCATCTCTACTAAAAATACAAAAAAAAAAAAAAAAATAGCTGGGCATGGTGGTGGATGCTGGTAATCCCAGCTACTTGGGAGGCTGAGGCACAAGGATTGCCTGAACCCAGCAGGCACAGATTACAGTGAGGTGAGATCACACCACTGCATTCCAGCCTGGGTGACAGAGTGAGACTCTGTTAAAAAAAAAAAAAAAAAGAAAAGAAAGAAAATTAAGAAATCGTTTTACTGTCTGAGAAAGTAGCTAATGTGATTATAGTGGCTGGAGGGGCAAACTAATAGCTTACACATAATGTGTTCATACTTCATTTTTGGCATGTTTCATGGGAGAGCCATCAGGTCTTGTGTAGACATGCAAGGCTCTCCCAGCTGGACTGAGGGCAAAACCCCTATCTGAATCATCTTGCATTTCCCCATCAAACTATGTTGAGTGCACTTGATCTAGTGGGGCTCAGTAACTAATAAACGGAACTGAACTAAATTAAAACACATGGAATGGATCTGAGCTGAAATAAATTGGAATGGTCAGGGATGGAAGTTACTTATTATCCTTAAAAATTTTGTTTCTTTAGATATCGGAATACTTTAGTAACTTCTGCTGTGCCTACAATGAACTTGGAGCAATAGCTTTCTTTTTACATTTTTACTAGCTGTACTTTCCAAAATGCCTGTAATATACTCAACAGTAGTATTATCTACTTTACACACAAAAGGACCTGACTCATAGAGAGGGGTAACGTTATTTTTCACAGGGTTACTTTTACACCGCTACTACCTCAAAGGAAGTCAGTGAAACAGAAGGGATTTGAACTCAAAGTCCAACAGCATTACTTTTCATCATCAAAGTTCATTTTAAAATATTCAATAGTAAAAAGAAAATTATGCAATGTGCAAATAAACATATTTGATAGTCCAAAAGAAAAGAAAACCACAAACCACAAAGATGACTGCTATTGCATCTTTTTTGTTTGTTTGTTTGAGACGGTCTCTCTCTGTTGCCCAGTCTGGAGTGCAGTGGCACAGCCTGGGCTCACTGCAACCTCCACTTCCTGGGTTCAAGCAATTCTCCTGTCTCAGCCTCCTGAGTAGCTGAGATTACAGGTGCCTGCCACCACACCCAGCTAATTTTTGTATTGTTAATAGAGATGGGGTTTCACCATGTTGGCCAGGCTGATCTCAAGCTCCTGACCTCAGATGATCCAGCTGCCTCAGCCTCCCAAAGTGCTGAGATTACAAGCATGAGCCACCCGCGCCCAGCCACATCTTTTTCTTTCTAAAGGTAAACAGAGAACATGGTTCTCATCACAAGGCACAGAAAACAATTCAAATATATAAGCCTCTGCTGTGCAGTATGGGTAGGGATGATTTTGAAGAATGTTCATTCTTAGTCTAGTCCTACTATTGTGTTCATTATCCTAATAGCTTATATGTGGATGATTCTTCCTTGTCAAAGACAGCAAATAGGGCTTTCTTAGTCATCCTCAATAGTCCACTTAACTGTCTACCACAAATATTCTAGGTCCATCTGACAGTATTTCATTTCACAGTAAACCAACTTTTGTGAAGGACTCAAAAGGTATTTGTTTTAACAATTCAATCAAGTTTGCTTTCTAAAAAGGTTTGTCTTAAAAAGTGAAGGTTGTTTTCAGGATCATTTAAGTTTCAGACCTCATTTGTTGATACCTTATCTCTCAGAAACTTGTTTTTCAACCCAAACAAAACTAGTTATCTAGTCAAAGGTTTCAGTGGCTATTATTGTGTCAACAATCAAGACCCAATTATTGAGTAAGATCCTTAGAAAAAACAGAGTCACAAATAATTGTTAATTGATTTTTCTTATTTAACCATGGTAATTAAAATTTTTATAATATGCAATGTGACTTGTCTCATAACTACAAAGAGGAAAAGTAAAATTAATCAAATGTCTTTGCTAAGTTAGCAAAGGAACTGTCACTTCAGTCAATCTTTAAAAATGACTTCAAATTACCGTGGCTCACACCTGTAATCCCAGCACTTTGGGAGGCCGAGGTGGGCGGATCATGAGGTCAGGAGATCGAAACCATCCTGGCCAACATGGTGAAACCCTGGCTCTACTAAAAATACAAAAATTAGCTGGACGTGGTGGCGTATGCCTGTAATCCTAGCTACTCGGGAGGCTGAGGCAGGAGAATCACTTGAACCGGGGAGTCAGAGGTTGCAGTGAGCCGGGATGTTGTCACTGCACTCCAGCCTGGTGACAGAGAGAGACTCCGTCTCAAAAAAAAAAAAAAAAGGACTTCAAATTAGACATGACACATGGAAATGAGATGTTCACTTATAGTTTAAATATAAAGTATGTGTGTGTGTGATCAATTATGGGGTCTTAGTAAAAACCTTGTTGGTATAAGTAGAGGTGTGCTCAGATTAATGACATATTAAGCAATATATTTAAGAGGTTTAAGGATTAATATGCCAAAGAGCTCACCTTGCCTGCTAACCAACTAGAAATAAATAAGTATCCCCCATGTCAAAGATAAACAGAAAAGGAATGAATTTCCATTAACACACATACCAACAGAGAACAAAGATTAAGAAAACATTTTATTCAAACTGCTCTAGGGGGTTTAATCATCTCAGTCTTAACTTTCACAACTCAACATATTCATTAAAGATAATTCAAGATATCCATTCTATCATATAAATACAATGCTAATAGCTTTGACTGGTAATATCAAGGTCACATATTATCAAATATAAATGCACTATTATCATCCCTTTTCTTCATCATTGAAGACAGACATAATAAATTGTAAAAAGGGGGCCCAAGTGAAGACTAGAAAGAATCTCTGTTAAAGAAATAGATTTTTGCAAGTTAGTCCCAACTAACATTTCAGGATTACTATGTGCCAGACATTATTCTGAGTGCTTTATGTCAATTAATTCTCATAACGATCCTATTATGTTAGTACTCTTATTACCTCCACTTCACGGATAAAGAAACCAACCAAGATGAAAGTGTGGTTTTATAAACAGGAACTCACCAAAGAAATTAACCCTATCTTAAGGTGATTTTGAAAGAAATTATGGTTAGTTATTAGATATTACCTAGAAGAGGAAAAATAGAGTTTCAGGTAGATGGAGAGGG